>NC_000011.10:30514545-30666060 GCF_000001405.40 Homo sapiens
TTACAGCGTTTTGTTTCTTACAGTCAAAAGCCTCCTAACTGTTCTATGTTTACATGTTCATAAATTCAAAAAATAGTGTTTCAACCAAGCAAAGCTTTTTGTATACCTTCTGCTTCTTACAACAGCCTGGTAAGATATTATAATTTGATTTGCTGCCTCTGGCAAAGATACTCAGTGTCCCTGTAAATGAAATCAAATGATGATGACAATTATGAGATTTGGAACCAACACATCCAATATTTACCTCTGTCAGGCACCATCCTAAAAAACTTTAGGTCTGGCGCAATGACTCACTCCTGTAATCCCAACTTCAGGAGGCCATGGTGGGCAGATCACTGGAGGTTAGGAGTTCAAGACAAGCCTGGTGTGGTGAAACTCATCTCTACTAAAACTGCAAAAATTAGCTAGGCATGGTGGCACACACCTGTAACCCCAGCTACTCAGGGGGCTGAGGCAGGAGAATCCTTTGAATTTGGGAGGCAGGGGTTGCAGTGAGCTGAGATTGCACCACTGCACTCCAGCCTGGGCAAAAGAGTGAGACTCTATCTCAAAACAAACAAACAAAAAACCTTTATACGTTAACCTACCTCATCTTTACAGTAACCTTATGAGGCAATATCTATTATCCTCTTTTACAGAGGAGCTAAATGAAGTCTACAGGGGTCATCATGAAAAGAGAGTGGAAAAGAATGGCTGGGTTTAGGATAATAGGAGTATGCAGAATATATCCCCAATCCCGGCAATCCATTTTATCCATAAGCAAGAAGGTGGTAGTGCACTGGCTGTGAGAGAACCAGGGAAGAGCTCATTAAAGCTCCAATTATGAGGACTCGTCAGTAGAGAATTTGATTTAATAAGTCTGAACTAGATTCCAGGAATCTGAATGTTTAACCACCTGCCTGAGAGATTCTGATGGGCAGTCAGGCTTAGGAGATAGAAACTAGGGGCTAGAGAAAACTGAGCTGCCCAAGATTTGGGGGACATAACAGGATAAATTGAATTGAATTGTCTCTCCTGATCTCTGAATTCCTTTCCAAGTAGGTATGCAAAACAGCTTCACAAGTTAACCACACCATCAGAGTGGTTGTACAACCTTAATTCTTACTATAGATTTAGCATCACAAACCAAAGTTAATTTGCTTCCTAAATCCTACAGGACCCCAAAAGTTGTATGTGTTTTCTTGTCTTCTTGACAACCTTACTAATGCACTACCCCCAATTTGCCTTACAGACAGCTAAGAACCTCTTGAAACAGACATAGAATAGCCTTTAATGTGAAGAAAACTTTAAAATCCCATCAAGCGAAGATCACAATCATTTCAGGAACTTAGTATTGGAGATATTCCAAAGTCTGGATTGACTCTAAAGAGTTAAAATAAAGTAGGCATACATTTCCACCACAGCAATTTTCTGCCTACCACATTCATAGAGCATGAATATGAACAAAGATGAATGACACTATAGCAGGCACAGCAAATGCATGGTATGAGTAACCACACCCCTACCCCATAGCATGAGAGACACTGCTGATAAATCATAACATCTTTCCCACTGAGTTTGGATATAGCATGAGGATCCTTCTTAACAAAGTGCTTCAGGGAGCCACTTTAGATTGATCAGAGCTGGCAAGTGTGATGAATTCTCTCTGCCACACCTGTGCTGAAACCCCTTCAGAAAAGGAATAAAAATTAAGCTCGCTCCCTTCTAGAAGGAAAAAACAGTGTGCATTCATTTTCCAGACACTCTTCTGATGCATCCAAGTCTCGTTATTATTATTATTATTTCTATACGTCTTCATTTCTTGTTCTTAAAGGGTACTTGGATAAATGTTTGCTGAATTTAATTTAATATTTTTACTACTTTGGCTAAAGGACGTAGCATTTCCCTAACATGAATATTAAACTCAGAAGAGCCCATGAAGCACTGGAATGAAAACAGTTAATTATCAAGTCACCAAGGCTGGTAGCAAGAAGCAGGAGGCACGGCTTAGGAAGCTGCCCATTTTTCTTGCAATAAAGAAAATAAAGACAGTAATTCTAAGAACATTTATTAACCCCCCAGTATGGGTAATTGCCATCAGATGTGGGTCTGTCAGTCTTGCATTAACATAAGCTACTGCATCTTGATTTTCAATGGCACTGTAATGCCCATGATACTGTAGATAAGTGCTAATGCTGGAATTTTGAGAACCAAGTCCTGTGTCCAGCAAATGCTTTTAAAAGAATTTCACTCTCAATGGTTGCTTGCCCAGAAGAAATTCATTTTGTGTTAAAAAAAAGAAAGAAGAAAGAAAGAAAACAAGGAGGCATTCAATTGAGCAAGCATTTTCTTAATTCATTTTAAGATAAACTCTTACATTCCCCAACAATTTCTCCAATGGATGCAAATGTGGAAAGAGACCCTGTATGGATGGGTTGGCTGTATGCTCCATTCTGTATTGGTATATGACATCAAATAATGGAATGGCGATAAAACAACAACAAAAAAAGGAAAGGCTTTATAATAGTCAGGACACGCCAACCAATTTTAAATTGAATTACACAGCCTGCTAATCTTTATGATGGGATAGAATTTCTTTCAACATTATGCATTATACTAAAATTTGCAGCACTTCTCCCTCCCCATTTCTTAAGCTGCTATCCCCCCATACTCCCCATATATCTCCCCAGTGGAAAAGCTTCCCTTCAACTCCAAAAGCATTGTTACTGCTGACTGGGAAGGCAGGGCACAGCTCTGTGCAAGATTTCATTTTTATAGCTATTGTTAGTCGGTGTATATCTATATTCCATGCCAGGGCATACACAAACACTTTTATGAACACTGGGCATATTTCCCTAATAATCACAAGCACAAAATTTTTAACAAGGTAGATTCAAGCCTATGTATACGGTAAAAGACATTTTTTAAACCAACAATATTGAGGAGCTTTGTTATATTTTACAAATGAATGGACAGAACACTATATACTATATATTTGATGAACCAATCACACTTCAGAAATTCTGGACTATCCACGTCGAGAAGACGTAGTAACGCTGCTAAAGTGTAGGCCTATGTGTCTGGGACGTGTCCTTCCTCATCCTGCATGTTTCTCTCTCTTTAGGCAATGGAACAGGGTACTAATGAGAAGGGAAAGAGCTTGTCCTGTAAGCACGGACACCCTCATACTTCAACCCCTCTGGCCCTGATGAAAAGAACTACCAAAGGACGAAGAAAGAACTGCCATGCCAAGCTTCTTGATCTTTCCTCCTTCTGTCATGGGAGAAGGAGTCTCCATAATTACCTTAGTAAAATCATGTATAAACTATTTCTAAGAAATAAAACCCTTCTTAAAATTTAAGTTCCTCTCTGATACCTTATACTATGAATTCTTACTCTGCGATGCATTTTGGTTTACTTATGGTAAAAACGAGGAACTCACCATGTACACTGACTTGTGAACAACAAATTCACACTATTACTGAACTATATCCATGACATTTTTAAAAAAACAATTCCCAGGCAGGCAAAGAAATCAAACATTAGATCTGAGAACTACTACAAGAGTTTATGGTAGATTATGAGCCACAGAACAGCTACCAAGAACCACACACAGTCTCTGCTTAGGATCTTTCTAGATATTCTAGACACTCTTTTAACCGACAGTCTCCAGCCTCTCTGAGACACATACTGTCTGCTGCCCAACATGCACCCACTAACAGCAGCCAGGGGCTGTCTCTAATAGTCACCTGTGCTCTTCTGCTCCATGCACAGTTGTCCTAGAGCCACCTCTGTTTATCTCCAAACCAGTTTATCCAGCTGTATTTTTTAATGTAATCATCTCATGTAATTATAAATGACTTTAAAAATCATAGCATTCTAGAAAGATTCTGCACTCAGATTGTTTCACAAGCATCTTTATGTTCACCAATAAATATGCCAAAATGAAAATGTGATACGTTTTTAATAAAGATGAGAAATTAAATGTGTGATTTACCCAAGAAAGACAGTGCTGACCTATAATCACTGTGTCCATACTTAAAGGGAAGGCTTCAGTTCTACCTCAGGACACTGACCAAAGCATGCACATCTTATGCTTCACATTAAAATAAAACTATTTAGCTATATGATTATCATTTGTATGGGTTCCTACGTTAGCTGACTTTTTTGATGAACTGAACACTTTTCTTTCCTTGTCAGGTTGGATAAGAAGGCTTTAACTGGACTAGGAGCTGCGTATGCACAGGACTGTGAAGATAGAAGTCCTTCCTGCCTTCCCACCACCCTTAACTCTTGTGTGGCCTTTTCAAAGGACAAAATCTCCAGATGCGTTACAAAAGACATACATTTTGGTTTTGCATTTTTTGTTTCTATCTATTTTTATAGGCAAATTATTAGTTTACTCACTTTCATAGTATTAAATGTGTATGCTTAAAATATTCATTTTGGAATTCATATATAAAATCACATTCAGGGCCAGGCATGGTGGCTCACACCTTTAATTCTAGCACTTTGAAAGGCCGGGGCGGGAGGATCATTTGAGGCCAGGAGTTCGAGACCAGCCTAAGGAACATAGAGAAATCCCCATCTCTACAAAAAATTAAAATATTAGCCAGGCATGGTGGTGTAAAATTATGGTCCCAGCTACTTGGGAGAATTGCTTGAGCCCAAGAGGCAGAGGTTACAGTAAGTGGTGATCATACCACTGCACTCCAGCCTGGGAAACAGAGCAAGATCCTGTCTCAAAAGCAAACAAACAAACAAAATATATACGTACACACACAAAAAAGTATGTGTGTGTGGGTGTGTATACATGAATATGTATGTGCATATATATATACACACACTCATATATATACACATATATATGTGTGGGTGTGATTTTAGCATTTGTAATAGCCTATAAAATATACACATATAATAGTACTGATGGTGGTGGTAGTGGTAGTAATAGTAATAATAGTACTGGAGCTACCAGTAGGAATGCTAGGATACACATATATATGAGTGTAAAATCATAAAAAATGATGTTAAGGAGATATATATATGTGTCTATATATACACAAACATTTTCAGGCTCTGTGGTTACATTGCTTCCTAAATCCAGGATTTCTATGAATAATGGATTCACAAAATGAAGAATACACAATGAAAATACTAAAATATCAGTTAGGTTTCCTAAATTCCTAAATTACAGCTAACTATTCTGGTATTCCTACTAGTAACCCCAGTACTATTATTACTATTACTACCACTACCATCACCATCACCACCACTAACATTATTATATGCTCTTGGTTGATTAACAATTCTAAATTGAGGTAATAAAGGGAAGAACTATACAGGACTTGGTGGGCACTGAGTCTCAAACGACTAGGGAATAGGATTAATTTAGAGTCAGCAAGTGAAGAACTTCCTAACATTGTTCTCAACATTTTACAGACAAATCAAAGCTCAGAGGTTGTATATTTTATAGTTAGATGTCTGCCCTCACAGGCAAGTACAGTCTCTTCAAAACCAAAAGGAGCTTTACCTCCTAATTTCCAAACAAAGAAGGATAAGTGAGATTCATAAAAACGGCAGCGAGAAGGGAGACAACACAGTTTAATTGTACACGTTTATCCTGAAATTAGAAAAAAAGAATGCTGCTTCTTTCCTGCTCTTAAAATTTGAACAGCTAAAAAAAATGTAAAAAATGTAAAAAAAGTTTACCCCAGTTTCATAATGTACACAAAACTTGCTGCAATAACATCTATGATAGATCAATAATGCATGTTATAGTTAGCTGCTTAATTATTCATTTAGGGTGTACTATAAATATGGCATTAACACAAATTCCGGATGTGACAAAAGCTGGGAAATTCAGGCAATGTAACCAAAATTAAGTCATTTTTTCCCTACATAAATGCTAAAATAAGGCAAACAAAAAGAATGTTCATTTGGGGGACAAATCAAAACAGAAGACTTCCTTTTGTTTGCCTTTCTTTTCACTTTTTATTACCTATCTTTGGTTAATGTTTTGTGCTAGCATTTATTTTTATTTGTCACCTATGACTTTTTGATATTGTCTTATATGTCATTTTCATATACAGTAAGTATTTGGAAATGAAGGGAGTATTTACAGCATTTAATTTTAGCATTTGTAATAAATAGCCTATAAAACATACATCATTTCTTAAAATAATTATCAATTTCCTTAGTCAAAATGTCACTTTTTACGTTAAAAAATAGGGGAGAATTTTATGATGTTCCAGAAAATAATTATGTTGGAAGAAATGACTTTTAATTTTGGTTGCAAAGGTTGTTCACTGTACAAGAAGAGTAGCAGCCAAGGGGGTAAGTGGGAGCTATCTGCCATTCACCGAGTATGTACCCACCAGGCCCAGGGGACTCCTCTTTACACTTTGTAGAAAAGCACTTTACAGATAAGCAGCAGCCCCAACCAGAAATAACATATTGGAAAAATACTGAAAATTTTTAAATGAAAATGCACAACTATCCCCACTTCCTTCTCCAAGTGGTGGTGATGGTGGTGGTAGTGCTAGTAATAGTAATAATAGTACTGGGGCTACTAGGAGGAATGCTAGAATAGTTAGCTGTAATTTATGAATTTGGGGGGAGATTTAGGAAACCTAACTGATATTTTAGTATTTTCATTGTATATTCTTCATTTTGTGAATCCAGTATTCACAGAAATCCTGGATTTAGGAATAAAACAGAAAGGAAAGAAAAAAAACAAGAATAAACAAAACCAAAACCAAATATAGGGATGTAACCATATGTCTGGAACTGAATCATCCCCACCAGCCCCATTTAGGCTAAATTACGAAAGCTTGCTAATCAAACGCCTTTGTAAGGGCCATTCAATTCACAACTCTGGAACATGACTTCAAGTTTCCACAAGGACTAACAGCCAGGCCAGAAACACACAGAGTATCTCAACATCCAAGTGTCCAGTACCACAAGCCAGGTTATCAAGGCTCTTTGGATTTCATTATTTAGCACTTTCTGGTCAGCAGTCTAGCAGCATTCCATTAAACAAACCTAGTTTATTTGACATTTGTTACAAATTTCATTAATTGTTAAAATTAATCAGGACACCACGCCGTATCTTTTGAAGTCAAAATACATATTAGGTAACTTTCTAATGTAAATATATCTTCTGACCTTTGCCAGTAAAATGTAAAAACTAGAAATGAAACAAATATAACATCAGTCGTTTCCACGTGGCTACTAGTCTCCAGGATCCTGGAGTCCCACCCTTCTTGTATGCCGCAGAAGAATGCAGGATGTGGGACATAGATACTGCCCCTTGGAGCTCTGTGACCCAGAGCATGGTGACCTCTCTGAGTTGCAGCATCTGGAGCTGCAGATCAAGAATAACTTCCTTGTATGTTTGCTGGGCGGGCTGAATGAGATAAATGTGTTTGCAAAATACACACCTAGTGTGGTGTCTTGTCACTTAATATACAGCAATTCTCATGATTATTAGAAATGTAGGTCCAAATCCTAATTTCATAGGACCAAGTTTCCATTAAGAAATCCTTATTCCTTAAGGCAACAAAGTAAGAAACAGTGTTTTGATTTGGTTTGAGTTTTAAAACTGACTGCAGTGCATGATTCTGTATAGAAGCCTGGAATAGAAAAAAAAATGTCATAAATGGCATGATTAAGACAACTGGAAAAATATGAAAAAGGTCTATAGATTACATAACAGTTGTATTAATTTATATTTCTTGATTTTGATAACTGTAGTGAGCTCATGTAAATGAATATCCATGTTCTTAGGAAAGATACATTGAAATATTTAGGGTAAAGGGGCATGATGTCTATGACTTAAACTCAAATGCTTCAGGAAAACATACACACACACACACACACACACACACACACACACACCTAGAAAGAGAATAATAAAGCAAATGTAGCAAAACATTAACAGTTGGGGAAATCTGTGTGACGGGTATATGAGTGTTCATTGTATTATTCTTGCAACTTTCCTGAAACTTGAAGAAATATTAATTAAAAAATAATTAATCAATGGAGGCCGCCCACCAGTGTGAGAAGTGCTGTCTACACATTTAACAGGCCTGATGCGAGGCTCTTCTGGGACTTAACCTTGGGCTCCACTCCACTTTCACCTCTCTAGGCTAGTGGCCTGCCCTGCGTGTGGGAATGGCTGCATTGAATTACGTGGACAGTGCTATAATTATGTCGTCTTCCCTTTCATCTTCCTTGCAGGACTCCAAGTGAGAATGTGTGGAGTGAGCTAATGATTTGCCACATATCTCTGATGAGTACTATATTATTTGCATCATAATATTTTCATTTCCTCCCCCTGCACATAACGCCACATTGACAGCAAGGTCAGTTAAGTTACTATAAGGGATTTTTAATGAAAACAATTATAAATTTAAAATAACTGTGTTTAAAGCATTTAACAATCACTAGGGTCAAGTGATTACAGCAGTTACAAGCCCCATGGGACATGTTCACACCAAAACAAAGTGAATAAATTACCTCAGCTGGCACATGTAATCACTAAGTGACCACAGGGGTCAGGCAGAGTAGAGCCCTGAAGACTTTCACGCAAAACCAATAATGAAAATTTATCAGTCAAAGGTGGGGGCGGGTGGCAAACATCAAGAATTAGTGAGTCCAGTGATAGACTGGAAGCGGAAATGACTCTCCATACAGCTTGAAGGGCCAGGAAAATGGCATTCAAAAACCCAGGGGACAGATGGAATCAAGATTCCTGGAAACAATATACAGGCAGGCTGGGGGGAGGTGGGAAATTAAGATGAAAGTGATCTATGGAGTACTGGGAAGTTCAAAGCCAAACCAAATGCCACGTTGGTATAAGGATGACTATCCTTATCCAGAAACCTGTTGCAGGGACTGGAAATGCATTGGGAGGCCTCCTACCTAGGGCAATGAGGGATAGGACAGGATATTAACAACAAAATGATCATGTCTAACATTTACATGACATTTGACATCTTCCAATAAGGCGCCTTCAATTTCATCCTCACGACTCTGTGACAACTTCCCCTTGTTGTAGAAAAGAGGGGGCTGAAGCCCAGGGAAGCAACACATCTTTTTTTTTTTTTTTTTTTTTTTGAGACGGAGTTTCGCTCTTGTTGCCCAGACTGGAGTGCAGTGGCGTGATCTCAGCTCACCGCAACCTCCACATCCCAGGTTCAAGCAATTCTCCTGCCTCAGCCTCCCAAGTAGCTGGGATTACAGGCATGCAGAGCTAGCATTCAGCGGAGGAAAACTAACAACAAAGAAGGATATGCAGAAAGAGGTAAAATAAGAAGACCTCACCAAAGAGGTGGCATTTGAGCAGAAATTGACAGACTGAAGAGATGATTAAGTACAAAAGTTCGAGGTGGGAACAAACTTGGACCGGAAAGTTGCTGTGGTCAAGAAGAGAGAACAAGGGGCTGGGCGCGGTGGCTCATGCCTGTAATCCCAGCACTTTGGGAGGCTGAGGCAGGTGGATCACCTGAGGTCAGGAGTTCATGACCAGTCTGGCCAACATGGTGAAACCTGTCTCTACTAAAAATACAAAAATTAGCTCGGCATGATGACCAGTGCCTGTAATTCCAGCTACTCAGTGGGAGGCTGAGGCAGGAGAATCGCTTGAGTCTGGGAGGCGGAGGTTGCAGTGAGCTGAGATAGCGCCATTGCACTCCAGCCTGGGCGACAAGAGTGAGACTCTGTCTCAAAAAAGGAAAAAAATAAAAAATAAAAATAAGAGAGAGAACAGGGGAGAAAACAGTAACACACAAGTCCAAAGAGTGAGGGAGAGGCCAGAGAGAAGTGTGGTGGGAAATTAAGGTGGACAGATAGGTTGGACCAGTTCATGAAGAGCTCTGAATACCACAGTAGACTCCATTCCATCTGTTCATGGTTCCTAAAATGCATTCCACAAAAATATCAGTATGTTGGGAGGGCCCATAACAAAGAGATACCAAGTCTTCATCAGTAAAAATGGTGATAACAGCATCAACCAGCCTCAGAGTGTTGTGAGGATTAAATGAGTTAATGCAGGTAGAGGGTCAGGCTATAGTGGGTGATCAACAAGTGTTAGATATTATTATTGGGGGATTCCAGGAGAGATGAATGGCAAGTTGGGGTTTGGCAGTCTTTTTAGGCACCATAGAGGTCAGAAAGACACTCAGGAAGTGAAATGAATAAAATGTAGTCATAGTTCCAGGAGGTTCAGGTACCTGGATTAATGGTACTGTGAGTCAAAAGGGGAATTTAAAAGAACAAGCAATATTTGGAGGCGATATATTTCAGTTTGAGGTATTATTGGTTTTGAGGTGTCTGTGTACTTTCTACCATCTATGTCAAAATATCTGGTCTCCAGTTAGATGCAAGTATTTGGAAAGAGGGAATGATTAAGATAAAACCAGCACTCCATTCTAACAATAAAACCTCAAATAATTAGAATAATCTCCTAGGTTTTGATAGGCAGACTTACCCTATGATGAGAAATGTCATCATATCAGAAGGAAAGACAAAGCCCCCAGTCCTAGGCCTCCCACTGACAAATCTGTGCAAAATTGGGCAAGATCTTTGAACTCTCTGAGTTCTAGCTGCCTCATTTACAAAATGGGGAAAAAATAATGACAATCAGAGACTGGATGCTAAATGCAGTGACTTTGCTTCTGCATTCTCAGTGCCTCCCACAAAGCAGTAACCTGGCCCTCAGGAGACACTTAGAATATACACAAATAATCTTCTGAGGATGAAGTCTCTTCATGTGCTAGGACACAAGAGTCCTGCTCTAGGATTTAGGGGGCTTCAGTGTTTCCTCTTGGACCAGATAGTTTGGAAAAGTTGAGAACTTTTTTGTTTTCAAAGAGCCGCTTTTTTATTTTGTTTAACAGTGATACAATTTTCATACAGTAAAATTCCTAAAAGGTCACCCTTTTCAGGAAAGTGCTTTCCTGGCTTTTCTGCTAAGCTGATGAAGTAATAATTATGTATGTCTTGCCTATGTTTTTTTCTCTTTAGGAGATGGGGAGATTTCAGGAAAGGAGAAAGTAGGAAGCTTAAGAATTGAAGGCTGGAACACAGAGTCAACTCAGTGACTTCAGCTCTAATGGTGGCTCCAATGTGACCCAGCCTGTCCTTCCACCTTTCTGGATCTCCACCCATCCATCAGTAAGACAGAGATAATACTATCTGCCCATATCAACTCCCCTGAAACAATATAAGCATTAATGATCTAATATACTCAAAAGGTACTTTGAGTCCTTTGGAGGAAAGATGTCATATAAATTAAAGGCATAATAATTTATGTAATTTAAGAAAATGGCTGCCCATAACACAGAGGATTGGGTTCACATGGATCACAAAAGACCTAGTCATCTTGTCCTCAGGTCACTAATGATCCTTTCTAATGGAACAAAATCCAATCTTACTTATTTGAGCATATTCAACTATGCTGTGTTTGGGTTCATTATTTTCCCCCAAGTACTTTACTTAATTCTGTTATCAAAATTGAACTACACTTTAATTTTGTCCTTATTGGAAAGATGCACTTTTATATGAATTAGACCATGAAGTAATTCATATAGGAAAAAAATTATTCAATGTAAAGAAAGACACACAGATAATAAGCATGAATCAACTGTTACTTGTATTAAGCAAATACTCTTATCCTGTACTATTACAGACAAAACAAGCTGTGTTACAGCTACCTGATAGAACATACAGGCAACTCATAGACACCTACTGAAATCCTAGAATTACACACCACGACAAGGACAACAATGATGATGAGAAAGGGGAAAGAAAAAAAAATAGAAAAAAGGACCCTAAGTGGATTTCTTGAACTAGAAAGAGAAGCTTTCAATAAATCATAACTCTAGGATGGTTGCTAGGAAAACCAAATTATGAATCAAAAACTTAAAAGTATAGCATTTTAGATACTGTTTTTGTGAACAAGCTAAAGATTAAGAAACTACTTGAGTATTAAACTCTCAACAGTAAGAATCA
This sequence comes from Homo sapiens, assembly GCF_000001405.40. Classification (NCBI taxonomy): domain Eukaryota; kingdom Metazoa; phylum Chordata; class Mammalia; order Primates; family Hominidae; genus Homo; species Homo sapiens. The sequence goes on from NC_000011.10 coordinate 30,526,540, forward strand.
GAGATCTTGACTCTAGGGAAACCTCTGGCATATTCTCCTTTGTAAATCATAGGAAGAGTTAATCTTATCTGCCCTTCCTAAAGCCTTCTACCTGGTGGAGGTTGCAGTGAGTCGAAATCGTGCCACTGCACTCCAGCCTGGGCTACAGAGCAAGAATAAATCTCAAAAAAAAAAAAAAGGCTCCTACCTTTACCTCTTTATTAGATATGACTGTTAGGTAATCATAAACTTGCATGACTATAAACATTCCAGTGAGGCTGCTCTGCTCAAATCCTTTCTGAAGTGATTCTTTGGGAAGTGCCAGGTACTTTACTAGAGAAAAGTTGCCAGGTATCAATCTCTATTTTCTATTTTTTTTTATTTTTTTAATTTTTTATTTTTTTGAGATGGAGTCTCCCTCTGTCGCCCAGGCTACAGTGCAGTGGCCCAGGCTAGAGTGCAGTGGCGTGATCTCGGCTCACTGCAAGCTCCGCCTCCCAGGTTCACGCCATTGCCCTGCCTCAGCCTCTCGGAGTAGCTGGGACTACAGGCGCCCACCACCACGCCCAGCTAATTTTTTTTTGTATTTTTTCAGTAGAGACGGGGTTTCACCGTGTTAGCCAAGATGGTCTCGATCTCCTGACCTCGTGATCCGCCCGTCTCGGCCTCCCAAAGTGCTGGGATTACAGGTGTGAGCCACCGCGCCCGGCCTCTATTTTCTATTTAAAATGGCATCTCCTACCTTGCCCAGTTCACCAGCTCCAGTTCCTAATATTTTTTATTGTTTCAAAAAATCAGAAATCTTAAATGTGTGAACCATGCCTGGAAAGTATTATGTGAAAGAGTTGTTTTTTTTTTTTTTAATTAAAAACTGCCCTTGGTAACCTGGTGAATAAAGCCTGGTGCTGGAGATTGTTAAGACAGGAGCCGGTGGGCAAGGGTGGTTTCTGGAAGGAGGGGTGGTGACGCTGGAGGGGAGAGAGAGTGGGTCAGAATAAAGAGGGGAACAGAGGGGAGAGGACAGGAAATGGGGAAGAGGGAAAGGGAAAGGAGAGGCCCTGCTGCCCTGCTTCTGTGGTTCAGATGTTAATCAGAGTCTAAGGAGAGGTCTATGTAAGTTTGGTCTGGGGTACTTGGAAGGGGACAGCATCAGGTTTCTGGTGGCCAGGTAGGGCCACTGTGTCACCGTTTTCTCTGTTGCACAGGCAGAGTGGGCCACAGGCCAGCAGGTCGCTATGACACAAGAGACTTCAGGGCCACCTTCTCCAAGTTCTCCCCTCCCCCTGTCTCTCCAATTCCTGCCCTCCCCAGGAGTAACAGAACCTCAACAACAGAGCATGAAAGAGCTGTCACTGCACAGCATGCTCGGAAAATGTCACAGCAGCAAATAACATTTCCTGACCATTCACTACTTGTACACATTGGGTCTCCTTTATCTTACTTAACTTCACAGCAATCTTTAGAGGCTGGATACACTAAGCATTAATAAGTCTCCTTTTACAAATGAATACATTGAAGATCACAGAATTAATAATGTTGAAACCAGGATTTAAATATAGGCAGGCTCAATCCAATACTCATGCTTGTAACCTAATACCACACTGCCTTTTTATACACAATACACACACACACACATGCACATCTACCACACCACAGGATACACACCAGCCATTAACAGTAGTTACATGTGAGCTTTATAGGATATATTGGCAATTTTAATTTTTTTCTGTATCACTATTTACTTTCTTTTTTTTTCAGACGGAGTCTCGCTCTGTTGCCCAGGCTAGAGTGCAGTAGCACGATCTTGGCTCACTGCAACCTCTGCCTCCCGGGTTCAGGTGATTCTCATGCCTCAGTCTTTTGAGTAGCTGGAGCTATAGGCACACACCACCACACCTGACTAATTTTTGTATTTTTTTAGTAGAGACAGGGTTTTGCCATGTTGCCCACGCTGGTCTCAAACTCCTGACCTCAAGTGATCCACCCTCTTTGGCTCCCAAAGTGCTGGGATTATAGGCGTGAGCCACCGTGCCTGGCCTCATTGTTTACATGTTTTTACAATGAACATGTGAGCTTTCATAATTAGAAAATCGTTTACAGGTTTTTATTTATTTATTTATAATTGAGACAGGGTCTCACTATGCTGCCCAGGTTGGTCTCGAACTCCTGGGCTCAAGTGATCCTTAGGCTTCAACCTCAAAGTAGCTCAAACTACAAGTGTGTGCCACTGCATCCAGCTATCGTCATCTTTTAAAACCCTTTAAAGGGTGAAGATTTGCTGCCACTGAGGGTACCCAAAAATATGTGACACGGACTCTCAAATACTACTGAGAGTATCATGGAGAAATTGCAATCTTTATGAAGAGAAATTTGATAATACATAATTTTTTAAAAATACACATCATCTGAAGAAACAATTCTACTTCTAGGAATATATCCTATGAATATAATTAAGGATGTTTGCAAAGAGAGAGCAAGAAAGATGTTCATCACTTCAGTGCAAGTAGAATAATAAAAGAATGGAAATACCTTATGTATCTAGCAAGAGATCTAGCTAAATAAAAAGTGCATCAGTACAACAGAATGCTATGCTGACACAGAGCATGATGTGTTCATTTTTTAAGTTACAAGATTACACTCATAGTTTTATCAATTTTAAAAAATAGTCCTTAATAAAGACCCTAAATGGGTGAAGATTTCCTGCTATTGAGGATATTATAAAAAGAAACAGAAAGTAGAAAAAATTTTGAAATGTTATACATCAAATAGTAAGTAATTACTTTGGAAATATAATTATGGAGGAATGTATATTTTATACTTTACACACATCAAATATTTGGATTTTTATAATGTTATGTGTATCTTACAATGAAAGTATTCTTCTTGGGAAAAAGTATTTTAACCACATTCAGTGATGTGAAAAGTGGTTCATAATATATCGTTAAGATGAAAAAGAGACTACAAAGCAATACAACTGTAAGACTTATATTTTGGCAAAAGATATTTGTGTGTGTGTGTGTGTGTGTATTTATAGAAGACATTCTACATGAATTCACACTAATGTTAACAGTAGTTACATCTGTTCATAGGTAATTTTGTTTTCTTCTTTTCACTTATCTCTAAGTTAAAAGGAATGCACATGTATAACATATATTATAAGAATAAAATAAACAGCCTTGGCGGTGAAGGTTTTTCCTAAAGACCAGCTCCAAAACTTTGGGCCAATAGCAGGATCACTAGAAAGGGAATATAGTCTTCTGAGAGAGGCAAAAATTGATTTGTATGTCTGCAATCTGGGATGTTGGTTACAGTCACACTCTGTTACAGCCATGTCTAACAAAATGCTCTTACAAATATGAATGACCCTCTTCTTGAGATTTTCCTTGAAGCATTTTTGTTCTCCCTTTTAGGGCTGGAGAAACTGAAGCTCGGAACTATTAAATGACAATCCAGACCAAAGAAAGGCCATAATTGAAAGGCCATAATTAAAAGTTCATGGCAATGATGCTGTGTTAAAAGGAATTTTTGACTGACTGGATTGTTATACGTAAACTTTTGACTGAAAGAATAGACCACCCAAAAACTCTGCCTTTCTAATTATAAAGTGGGAAACTCAACAGCAACAATATACCCTTCTTATTTCTGCACAGTATATAGGAATCAACAACAACAGCCAATGGGATATTATAAGTTCTTTGAGAATAAAAGAAAAAGGAAGGGGAGGGAAGGATTAGGCACTATACATACATAATTTTAAAGTTTGGCCAAAAGCGGAGGCAGGAAAAAACATCTTGTACCTTTATGTTCATCCACTCACTCAATGATTCAACAAACATTTGTGTACACCAACAATGTTCCAGGCCCTATACTCAGAACCAGGCATACCAAGAGCACTCATTATGCACACTGCTGTCTGGTAGGGCAGAGAAACAAGTAAACAATGGCATAGCCATGGGAAGGGATGCACAGACTGGTGACTGATGTGTTAAGGAAAGTAGCTTACTGTGAAAGAGAATCTGTCATAAAGGATGAGTTCTCCTAGAGACGGTCATTCCAGGAAGTGGGAACAGCGTTTTCAAAGGGAAAGAGGTGTGAAGGGACATGTTGCATTTGAAAAATGGGAAGAAACTGGGTATGGGCATAAGGGAAAATCAGAAATAAGAAGGTGGATGTGCAATCAAACGATGAGATCTTCTAATGCCTATTTGTGTAGCATCCATGAGCATAAACTGCAATATTCAAGAAGGCTACCAAAAGTATTCTGAAGATGAAAGCACAACAGGGACAAAATTGAGGGAACAGTAAGTAATCTCAAAGAAGCACAGGTGGAAGGAACACAGGGCCAACGTGCAGGAAGAACACACATGGTAAGAGGCCTTGCAAAATGTACCTTTAGAGAATGTGGTATTAGAAGCCACTGATGTTCAAGGCAATAAAAATAATCACATTTTAACTGACAGGTACTTTATCTAGTTCACAAGTTTATTTTTAAGCCAAGTCTGGGATTGGTATGCATTTTTGCTAAGATAAGAAGGAAAATGTTATTAACTATTAGGTGGCAGGGTCCCAGTTCAACTCACCAAAGCCTATTCATGGCTTACCTAGAACACATCTTAGCTAAAATGTTAATGAGACAATAGGAGCTGACTATCACTTTAAAAAGTATTTCTTTAAGAAGGATTCATCTGTACCTCTCTCCATATACTCTGGCAATAAATCTTTGACAATAAGAAGCCACTTGTCCCTCTGACCCTAGACTAGATGCCCTGAAGACAGCACTACGGGCAGCAGCCAGGTGAAGAGAGGCACAGGTTGTCTGGGCAAATGGAGGACTGGGATGTCTGATTAGCCAGACTGGGGAGAGATGGAAAACAGGGGCTCTGTCACTCCCTCCAGCTGTCTGATATAGGGATTCAAAGTTTCATTCCCCAATCCATGGTAGAGATTTGGGAGGAAAGGGGCCAATGCGGTGGTAGCTGCAGTTTTTAGAATATCCTGATCATTTCAAGTGTTCATAAGTGGGAAATGCTTGCCCAAAAAGACGATATTTCCAGGCTACCATCAGTAGCTACTCATTTCCAGGACTGGTCAATGAAATGCTAATGTCATAACATAATTTAGACTGTTCTTTGGAGCTTACATGACTGGCTGCATCTGTAGAATTCTTTACGGGTATTTGCTTTGTTGTAACTCACCAAAGTTGTCTACACCAAATGGGGAGAATACTTCCCTACCTCATAATGCTCTTCCATCGGCCAGCTTACGTAGAGAGGCTGTGCCACAAAACAGCTTTCTCAGGAAATAAACCACCTTAGGCCCTGAACATATGTACGTGTAAGTACTTGTGTTAAAAGGAGGCAGTTATTCGAAGAACCATGGTTTTACCCAGGATGTAGTTCCTCCAACAGATTTCAAGCCCCACTCTGGGAAGAGAGGTAAGGAAATACACTTGGAAATTGGAGTCTGATGGACGTAAGTCCAAATCCTGAGGTCACTGCTGAACTGTTAAGTTCACCAAGGCTCAGTTTCCTCACACGTTAAAAGGAAGCTAATAATACCTACTTCACAAGTTATTGTGGGGGTTGTATGAAATGACACATGTAATGCAGGGGTACAGCATCTGGACCTTACCTCCCATAGACAATACATGTTAATACATGTTAGTTCACCCACCCCATCCTGCCCCATCCAAATTCTATCCCAACTTGGCTATTAATTATCTGCGAAACCGTGGACAATTCATTAAATCTCTCCAGTCTCAGTTTCCACTTCTATCAGATTAGGAGGTAGGACTCCATGGCCTTCAAGGTCTCTTCCTGTCCTAACATTCTGTCTGGTTAGTGTCACTGTTATAAGGGAGGCTCATTTTTATACATTTTGGTGCTCCCTCTTTACACTCTGGATCCCTCTTTAAATGCCCAGGGCCAGCTCCTTTTAACTTCTGCTTTTGGGATTCTATGCCACTGGCTCTGTTGGTTTCCTCTACTCTATTAGTTGAAAGTTGTATACAGGCCAGAGGTTGTTCTAAGAACAGTATGAGCTTTATCACAGAGCATATCCTCACAACCACCGTAAGGTGTATTATCATTATGATGCCCATTTTGGAAATGAGCAAATCAAGGCTTGAGAGTTTACACAACTTAACAAAGGTAGTGAATTCAAAACTGGCTGGGTCTTCCCAGTTGCTCATAATCATTACATGTTATACTCCCCTTCCATCCTGTAGTGATATCTGGTTTGAGTTCAATCTTCTTATGACCTAAGATGAAGCTGTGCTCGATTATCTGATAAATTACGCATGTTAATGACTTTGCCTGTTACTCCTACTAGGTGACATATGTACAGATTAACCAGGGATCATCATCTCTGAACCAACAAAGAACTCATGATGGGATTCCCTGGCCTTGCAGTTGCTAAGTCAAGGGTGAGATTTAAGATGGGCAGAGCTTAAACACATCTTTCAAATACGTGCAATATTAGCACATAGCCAAACAGCTACTCAACTTCCACATGAAGCTGCCAGAAGCTACAGCACTTTCTAGTACAAGCTTCAAATGTGCATGCTTCCAGATGCCACAAGCCCTGTCATAATATCACAGAATGACAAAGGAAAAGGGCTCACACTTTGGAGTCAGACAGCCCCATGTCTACTAGCTGAGTGTACTTGGGTGGATACTCAGCCACTATGAGCTTCTTACATACTAAATGACCTTGGGTAAAATGGGGATAACATTAGCAACTTCAGAAGGATGTTACAGGTATAGAGGGAGTGCCTGGCCTATAGTAGAAACAACTTAGCTCAGAGACAGAATAAAGGAGCTTGGGGGACAGTCAGGTTGTTTTCAATAATCAGGGTAGTCTACACTAGAGTAGAAAGCCAGAAATCAGAGATTCAGTGGACTCCAAATGCCTACCAAATCTGTGAGACCCATGCCCCACTGACAGTCGGATGCCCTATTATGGAAAAAGCCCTAAAACCCTAGATTGATCTGACCTCTGACTCCACTCTGCCAGGCCACCTGGCAGCTGCTGCTAGAAGCACCCTTTCAGAAAGGGTCCTCATTGAGCCAAGTGGTAGAGTGTTATCACACACCATCTCTTACCCTCTGAGCACCATGAGGTTGCCTGGGTAACAGTGAGCTATTCTTGGCCTTCTCTATGGGATCCCAACTTCTCTAACCATATCCCAGGGCTCCCTTCGATCTCACATTCTGCAACCCATGCTGAAACCTCTTCCTCCTGTCTCACCAGATCATAGGGGAAATAGGAAGAGAAGGCACTGACCATGCAGCTGTGCCTTGGCATTTTATTTCCTTATCATTGTATTTCCTTAGTTATGACACATTTCCATTTATGGAGTACTTTCCCTTATAAAATCTCCCAGTGTTTACTTCTGATCTACTAAATAATTCCTCTGGCCTCTTCTTTTTACCCTTTAAATATATTTTGATGGTTCATTTGGCACATTCCCCATTCAGTTATTAATGGCCCACAAAAACTTACTAGCAGCAATCATTTACTGATTAATCTACACAACAATCCAGAAAGACAAGTAGTATTAATCCTTCGTCCTGCAGAGGGAAACCAAGGGGAAAAGGAAGGTTAACTCAGTTTCCCAAGGTCAGTGGCTAAACAAGATTATAACCAGCCCTAACCTGTCCTCCATTTCTATAAACACTTCCCACAGTGCTGTTGTCTTCCTTTAAAAATCAACATTGTCAACGCAGCTCGATAATTTCTGTGTTGAAATTCCATTGACACAGACTAGTTCAAAACTCTCAAGATTTACCAACAATAATTTTAACTGCTAATAGTTCATGGATGAAAGTTGCTAAAATAAAGAGATTATTGTAGAGAAAAAAGACATAAGCGAAAAGATCTGGATTTAGAACCAACTCTGCCACTATGAAACTGAAAAAATCACTTAACTTCTCTACATCTCTGTGTCATCTGTAAAAATGAGATTATGCTAAATAATATTTAAAATATCTTGCCATTTTAAATAACATGATTAAGTACCTACTAAAACAGCACAAAATATAAATGCTCCAACATCCAATGCTGCCAAGACCATGATAAAACTAGTACCTATACATTCATTCACTGCTAGTGAAACACACAGCTACAGTGCCCTTGAAAAGCAACATGCCAACATGTAGCAAAAACCATAAAGAATTTCATATCCTTTGACTTAGCAAATTAAGTATAGTATTTTTCCCTAAGAAATAAATCAATAGAAACAAAACGACATACACAAACAAAAATGCACATTTCAGTGCTAGCTACCAGAGGAAAAATTGTTATCAATTTAAATGCTCATTTTTAGAGAGATGTCTTATTAAAGAAAGGCATAGCCAACCATATGAATGCCATGCTGCTATTAAAAAGAATATGAAAATTATGCAAAAACGTTTTAAGTCTTACCAATAAATACTATTAAATGAAAACAGCCAAAAGTCAAAAAGCAGATATGTACTCAGATGTCAACCATACAAAATGTGAACAGATGAGCAAAGTCACATGAAAAATCAAAATAATTATGTTATTAGTTAAGTTTATTGCTTACAATTCTAAAATATCATCTTTCCACTAACACGTCTTATCATTTAATCGAAAATTTAAAAAATTTTCAAACCCTGCTTTAGTTTGATGGAAAACAAAGTTGTAATGTTTTTGCCTAAATCTCCCAAGTTATTTTTGTTGGCTGACATATTATTGACAATGTTACGCTCCCAGAGTGACGTCTGCTCTTTACTATATAATTCTTTCGTCTTTAGGGATTCTAAAATCTCAGAACATTTGCACTTCTTTCCCTCCGCTAAGAGGAACCAGGATCCAATATTTTGCAGTAACTGACCTGTGGGTGCCTCCACAATATCCAGAAAATTGCTATTATCCTTTTTACAGGACACAGGGCAACTTCACATCCCAAGTTTTTACTTTACAGTAATATATCTCATGTTTTCAGGGGTCTAGAACACCCTCCAGCTCACTTAGGAAATCCGCTCCCAAGCAGCACTGTGCTATAGGAATTTTGTTTCATATAAGGACTTTTATAACCCCTTCATTTCTTAGAAATGTTCTCTTACTAGTAGGTCATTTGTATATCTTTGCTTATAATATCTGGGGAAAAAAAGATTGCAGAGCCAATGAATTAAAAATATGATTCTAGGTCTCCTGTGTGCCAATGAATGCCCTCATTAAAGCAGAATGAGTGAGATGAGATGGGTTTCAAAGCTTTCCATCCCTTTGCCCCAGAGCCACCAAGGCCAGGCACTGAAAGGATGCACAGTAAAATTAAATATCTAAAAATTCATCTTTAATTAACAGAATTGGATTAAAGCTAGACACCACCGCATATCATACGAGAAATGGCTGAGCTGGCTTCCAAGTGCTCTAATTCAATTAGGACGCAGTGAGTGACACTCGGACGGGAAAGGTTAATTGGGGCCGCCAGAACGCAATCATTCCTTACCTAACCAGTCATTAAACTTCTTAACCTCTGAGGGCAGTCCCAGCTCGGTGAAATCGCCTGTGTGGAGAAGGATGTCCCCATAAGGCATCTGGATACCATCTGTTCTGGAGTGTGTGTCTGAGATGCAGACAAACCGCGTGTGGCCCGCTGGTTTTGGAGTGTCATATGGGATGGGGTCGACCCTAAAGTAGACATAACAGATCCCATAACAGTTAAACATATTAGAACCCTTGAAATTGTCGTCGCACATACATATTTATTATTATTCGTGAATGCACCCAGACAAACTGACGCAAAGGCAGAAGGGCCCACTGTAATTAAGGACACTTCTGGGTGTAACAGAGACAGCATCACCCATTTACAAACCCACTGGGCAAATTCAAAAGGACTTACTTACCTGGTAGGAAAATTAAAAGGAATGAATATCTTACATATAGATCTGAAATAACCCAGGAAACTGATAGAGTGATTAATGGTGAAGTTTAGGGATACTGAACCTCAACTGGGGAAGCAAAATTATGCTATTTCTCTCTCATCATGCTCCAATTGATCCCACTACTCATTAGGAAATAGATAACTAATTTATTCCTTCTTAAACATGCATAACTTAAGCAATGAACTAATTTACAGAGAGCAGTCTGCACATGCTCTGCCAACTGAGATGTGGAGAGATAGCACTTATATTTAATTTCCTTTCCACAACCATTCAACACCTGTATCTTCTGGTTTTTGCTATTCACAAATCAAACCGTAGGGAGAGAAGGTGATGCCAAAATAACAGAGCTTTAAAAATTAAAAAAAAAAAAAGACACTGGATGTTAAAAGAACTTTGTCAAACTCGTTTTTACTGCGATGAATTATCTGCAGTCCCAGTTACACCTGAGGTTACCAGGAATGCTCAAATGCCTTGGGCAAAGATTCTATTCAGTACAAATATTAAGCCTTTTAATGGGATGTATATATCTACATATACGTTAATATATGTATAGTTTTAGAGACCTAAGCACTGTGAAATTACACCAGGGCATAAGAATCAAAAGGCAAAATGATCAACCCAAAGCAAAGAAAATGAAACAGAACATCCTCATTTAATTGAGTGTAACAAAGTGTACTAAATAAACTTGGTAAAGGAATGCAAATCTGACTCTTCAAGCATACAGTTTTAATTATTTAAGGGGTTTGTCGCAGAGTTAAGGATGCTTTAACTATATTAACTCTACACTGACAGCCTCCTTTAATTTCTCTGTAGGAATGTACACTTATTTTCGGATTATAGGTGAAAAGAAGCAGTTATAAATGCAAAGAGAAGGTCACAAGAGAAGCAAATATGCAATGCAGAGATTAGAGTGTGAAACATTAAATAAGGAACAATATTTCATATCCCAGCCCCAACCCTTGATAGTTAACATGCAGCAGAGAACACACTGAAAGCTCCACACAAGACTCCCTAAACATATTGCCTCTACAGGCTTTGTTTAATTTGTTTTCTCTTTTCCTTTATTTATTTATTTTCTTAAAGAAACAATCTGTTTTAACAATGACAATTTCAGTGAGGGAAATAGAAGAGATCAGTGTGCAACCTGGATAGTCCCACATTTCTTCAATGACTAACCTTTTTATTTCCTCTTATCTGTGTCGGAGAAGGAAAGTAAGAGGAGCAAGAAGGAAGGGAGGAAAGGAGGAGAGTAGGGAGGAAGGAATTGTGAACTGGTTATCACAGTGGGTCTAATTGGAAGCCCAAAAAGAAAGTTTAACTTCCGCAAAAAATTAATGGATTTTTTCTGTTAGAAAGGTTAGAAATTAATATGCTGTTACCACGTAGAAAATTCACTAATCCACTGTGATCTCATTAGTAACCTGGAAACCCTCCTCATTATAGCCGATGTTGCTTTTTTAGATGTAAAAATGTTTGATGTCTTCCTTTCCATCACTGAGACTTGGTTACACTCAGTCTCGGTGCTTACAATCTTAGCAACATTTCCTGTCTTTGAAAAGTAGTTTTCCCAGAGAATGAATGACTGTTCCCTGCTGGGGCTGACTGTGTCACTCTCTAAAAGTGATAAGCAATATCCCTATACCAATAGTTAAATGCTCACTAGAATAGGACTGTTTGCATTTATACTTAATGCACCAACATTTGAATGAAAATTTAATAAATCAGCCACTACATCTCTAAATATATGAATAAATGTAATATCTACCTATTCTAGTGTTTGTTTTCTAGCTTTCATTCTAATACTAACATACAGACACAGCCCCATTTCTCCTTTTCTGTAACTCAGCTAAGCTACAGACCCAGCTACTGCATCAAAATCCTTTGGGAGGTCATCTCAGCTTATCAGACAGACATCATTGTCATTATTTTGAATTAGACTGAAAGTAGCACAGATGTAAACCTCTTGTTGTAAATAGTTCCCTGTTCTATGAATCTACCCACTTTAAAGTAGCCAATCATCACATGGTACATAATTGGTTCCTCATCTTGACTTCATACTAGGCAATAAATTTTCTGACATTATGGGGAACACTAGGCAATTTCTGAATCACTTCAACCTCTTTCTCCACCTCCCACCTCCTTCAGAGAAACATTTAAATATCAAAGTCCAAGGAACAGCTGAGTAGAGGGGACAGTAAAAATGGGAAAAGTGTTTCTTCTCAGCTTTGAGCTGAAATAGTAAGTGTTTCTTCTCAGCTTTGAGTCCAAAGTAGACAGCAAGACAAGCAAAGAAGGCTCGCACATCTACACCACCACCATGATGCCATCAAAGAGAAATAATGTGTAGACACTAGGGAGAATGCACAGAAGATCGATTCAAGGCAGGGGATGGGGGAAGTGAGGCGTATACAGATGCAGACTTTATATAGATATCCTGACCCAGAGGCACTGAGAATCTTTGCTATCCATAGGAATAAGTACAAAGCAAGAGATGGTTTCAGAAGACAAGGCAGTGCAACATGCCAAAGCCACTCTGTGAGATGGTACAACAAATATCACCTGGAGCTCATAGGAAGAAGACATTTCCACCCACAGGCATAGAGTTGAAAATAAGACCTCTAGCAGAGTGGGCAAATTCCAGTGGAGATAATTAAAACTGAGACCACCCTCAGGAAACTACTCCTCCCAAATTGGGCATTTGATAAACACCTGGAAAAGTCAAGACAGCCAAACATTTTCACTATAAAAGTACATCTAAGGGAGACTCCAACTGCTACTGGAAGATCCTATCTGTTCATATTGTGTGAAGGCCCTCACACTATATTTTCATCCTTAGTTTACAACTTTACCACTTACTGTTTATGCTGCTGAGTTCTCAAATGACCTAACATTTCCCCTAAGGCATCGTGTCAAATATCCTAGCAAGTGAGTATCTTACCAAGGCAATCTAAACCCCAGAGCCAGATTCAAATATTAGAGTGATATTTGCACATATGTTTGAGTACACCTGGGGGACAACAAGGTGACATGGGAAGATGAGAAAAAAACATAGCAGCATAAAATCCCAAAGCAGGACTAAACCTTATGGGGCATCTCGTTCAATGTTTTACATGACATCTGAATCTCCTCTATCCCTTCCCTCTAGACGACATAATGTTTTGTGTTTGTTTGGTTTGTTGGTTGTTTTTTCTTTTGTTGTTTGTTTGTTTGAGACAGGATCTCGCTCTATCACCCAGGCTGGAGTGCAGTGGTACAATCATAGCCTACTATAGCCTCGACCTCCCAGGCTCAAGCAATCCTCCCACCGCAGCTTCCAGAGTAGCTGGGGTTATGGGCACAGGCAACCACACCCAGCTTATTTTTCTTGTTATTAGCAGTAGTACAGGTGAGGTCTTGTTATGTTTCCTGGGCTAGTCTTGAACTCCTGGGCTCAAGTAATCTTCCCACCTCAGCCTCCCAAAGTGCTGAGATTATAGGCGTGAGCCACCCCCACCTGGCTTCAATTTTCATTCTGAGGTTTCCAGAGAAGGAGAGCTCCTTCCTCCCCCTGTGCAACCCATCCTAGTTTTTTCATAGCTTTACTTGTTAGAAAGTTCTGTTTCAGATTCTGTACCTCTGAGAAAGCTGAGCATGGTCCAAAGACTTTGGCCTGGAACCTGAAGACTAAGTAACAATTTTAGGTCAGTCATTGGCTTTGGGCAACTTCCTTGATTTCTTTAAGCTTCACTTTTTCTCATCTGTAAAATGGGAATAATAATGCCTAATTTTCTGTGTTGCTATGTGGATGCAAACTATCAAGTACAGCATCTGACACACAACAAATGCTCCAAAAATAGAGTAGCAGAATAGCGTAAGGGTGAAGGATGTTTGGCTGCAGAGCCAGACTGCCTGGCTCTGAAATCCACTCCACAACTTATTAACATGCAACACCAAGCAAGGGGCTTAACCCTTGTGCCTTGGTTCCCTCATCAGTAAAACAGATATAAATATAGTACCTATCTCCTAAGATTGTTATGAGAATAAAAAATGATAATGTACTCAAAGCATTTAGAACAGTGTCTGACATGAAGTAGATACCCAATAAATGTTAGTATTTTTTTTTTACTAGTAACTAATAGTATTTTTACTACTATTAGTAGTAGTATCATTTAACTTCTATGACCTCCATCTCTTTTTCTGTTGTAGGGAGATAATAACATCTACCACTCACTCAGGGACTTTGTGAGAATTAAAAGAAATCACATACACAACACCCAGCATATACTGGGAGCGGAATCCATGGTCTTTAATATATTTATTTCCTGCCTGTCCCTCCTTCTTAATCCTAGTTCTGCACTCTGAAATAACAAGAAAATAAGAACCCAGTCCCTTTTCCATTGGACAGTTCTTCAACTATTTGAAAACAATCTATTATAATCCCCGGAAATCATCTCCACTCTAGTGGAGTAGCTACAGTTTCTTCCATTTTTCCTTGTGTGATAAGATGTCTAATGTCCTCAGAAGGCTATTTCCTCCCAGATACAATTTCACTGGGGAGAATCCCTCCCTTTGTAGTGTCAGAATTCATGGTCTGTGTGAATTCATGAACCAATGAGCTGTTCATCAAAGACAGATGCTAGCCCAGGCCATGGGGAGGTGGCACTGCTGAACAAATTGGCAGATTTTTCTAGAGAAGGCCTGAGCTATCATCTTAAACCATTTTCCAATGAACTTTCCAAGTTTTGTGCCAAGCCTCAAATCTTGTTCTTGAAGCTTGATCATCAAATGCTTACATATCTCACTGCATATTCAAACAAATAAACCATTCTTGTTTATTCAGTCTTGACATATTAGGGTTTTTTTACTCACAAAAAATATGATAATATTATGGCTTCCATTCTGATTCCTCTTCCGGCCATATTTATTATTGTTTTTCCAATAACAAATGAATACAGTATTGCAAACCTCATTGGTAGATCTTCAGAAAAGCTGTCATGTGGTTTGTTGTGACATGGATTTCTTCTTTAGACCATGTGTGCAGTATAACCTTTGTGTATACAATCAACCTATAATTCAGTGAGAGAATAGAACTGTATCCTTACAAAGCATTTTAAAGGGATTTCAGTGCTTTTAGCAACCCCCATTCCACTTTAAAATCCTCAGGCTGTGCTTATGGATTCCACTGAGGTTTTCTTACTTTTGTTTTTGCTTTTTTTAGACAGTGTCTAAACTCAAGTACAGTGGCATAATCTCACCTCACTGCAACCTCTGCCTCCTGGGTTCAAGCAATTCTCCTGCCTCAGCCTCTCAAGTAACTACGACTACAGGCATGCGCCACCACGCCTGGCTAATTTTGGTATTTTTATAGAGACAAGGTTTCACCATGTTGGCCAGGGTGGTCTCAAACTCCTGACCTCAAGTGATCCACCTGCCTTGGCCTCCCAAAGTGTTAGGAGTACAGGAGTGAGCCACGGTGCCTGGCCCACTGACTTTATCTCTAAAAACTTTCCAATGTGATATCAAGGCTTTCCTTTTCACCCAGAAAATTTAGATAGCATTAATGCTAAACTTATATTTGTGATGTTCTATCATCCAACCTGGACATACTATTTGATAAAGACAAGTAAAACCTGCCAGCACAACAATGAACAAATAAATAACAGGTTTAAGTTACCAGAATTACAGAACTTTTATGTTTAAAGGAACTTAGAGATGATCTGATCCTGTGTTCCACTTCTTTGAGGATCATCTTCATGGCCTTTGCCTTACTCACTTGTACTAGTCCTTAATTTTTGTTAGATGCTTAATAGTTTTTACAGAAATATTTTTTAGTTTTGCCCTGAAAAACAACATCTTTGAAGTCATCAGTCAGATATGATGGTTTTACTTTTTTAATGTGTAGTAACACATTAAAATAAACACGAGCCAGGTTCGGTGGCTCATGTCTGTAATCCCAGCACTTTGGGAGGCTAAGGTGGGTGGATTGCTTGAGCTCAGGAGTTCGAAATCAGCCTGGGCAACATGGCGAGACCCCATCTCAACCAAAAGTACAAAAAAAAAAAAAAAAAAAAAAAAGCCAGGCATGGTGGTACATGCTTATAGTTCCAGCTACTCAGAAGGCTGAGGTAAGAGGATCACTTGAGCCCAGGAGGTCAAGGCTGCAGCGAGCTGAGATTGTGCCACTGCACTCCAGCCTGGGTAACAGAGCAAGACCATCTTAAAAAAATAAAAATAAAAATAAAATAAAATAAACATGTAAGTGTTCAATTTTTGTTTAAGGTATGTCTCCTCTAAAGTGTCTTGCTTATTAATACTAATGATACATAGTCCATGCTCTGGAAAACACTGATCTGGTTTAAATTGACTCATTTTACCATGAAGAATCTGAGCCATAAGTAGAACTCAGATTTTCTAACTTTCAATTCACTTATCTTTCCACCCACTTAATTTTGCAAGCTAAAATATACCTGCACTTGGAGAATAAAAATAATTTTAAAAATGACAAAATACTGGCAAATCAGTCACCTAACTCTGGCAACCATTAATATCTAGAGAGACAGTCCAAAATTATTGGAATTAGTTGTCAAAAATATCCAAGTTTTAGTGCTCTCTATCCAGTCATGGATAATTTACATGAGAAGTGAAGTAATGACTTCTCCTAAACTAAATAAGTCTCCTAAGTTTACCAAAAAAATAAAAATAAGTCTCCTAAATGAAAAAAATGCATATTACAGGGAGTGAACAATACAGAAGTTTGTTTTTTAAAATGCTGATAAAGATATAAAGGTTCCTCATTCTCAAGGATCTCACGTCACATGCACATATGGATTTTGCTTCCACATACAGGTCTCTTCAGAGGGACTAGTTCAGTTGACTGATGAGTCTCATTAGAAAGAGCCCTGGCTGTGGAATCCAGTGGCTTTTGTGTTCTTACTACATATATCATCAATCAGCTGTGTGACCCTGGGCAAGTCACTTCCCATCTTCTAGCCTCTGTCCCTCTAGTGTGAAAAGAGAGGCAAGACCAAATGACTCCAAAGTTCCATGATTAGCCACACAGTTTACACACCACTATTTACCGATGAAAGAGCAGAAACAATTCAGGTTCTGAAGTCACTCCAAACCTGTTTTTCTCTTTGCAATTTTATTTTATGCTTTCCCAGACAATGCAAAGATAAATGCCATCCACATCCATCCACATATAATCAGAATTAGCAAGACTTTAAATAAAGAGAAGTGAAATTGCAATTTACGACTGTAGACTGAGCTTCTAGATATATCTATTCCAACAGAGAACAAAGAAGCCAGAATTCCAGTTATAACAAAAAAACAAAAATGACAGAATATGTGATTGAACTAAGGCGTTCCAGAAATGGCGTTGTTCTTTTTTTTTTTTTTTTTTTTTTTTTAAACTAGGAGCTGGTAAAATTCTTAGTTTAGCCATTATGCCCCAGAACAGTAATGGTGCTGAAACACAGTAAGCAGAACAGAACCAGATGTATAAAGATATTCACATTTGTACCACAGGCACTGCTTTTCTTTAACTGCTGAACTGCTGTATCAACACTGTTCTATTACCAACTAATTATAGCTAACAAAGCCCACTGCACGGAGTGTGTCTCCTCTATTTTTTCCTCTTACAAAAGTACAGTGCCGACATTCAATGAATGTTAAGTGGTAACAATTTAATTCTTTGAGCACTGCATGCAATATGAATTCATGGTCCTTCTCCTAGTGCCATCTGAGGTGTTTTTATGTGCATCAGGCTAACTACCGTGTCAGCCACTGAAACCTCTCAGATGACATATCGCTGGGTCATAAATATCCCACTGGAGATGTATTGTCCAGGGTTAAACGTTTCCCTCCCTTCTAACATGGCAATCACGTTAATCAGCTTAAAATTCTGGGTAATGGCCTTGCATTTGAGAAAAAAAGCCATGTAATACTGTACTGAGTGCCCATTATTCCACACAGTATGTTGGTCTGTCAGTTGGTCAAGCAGTAGGTCAATAACCATGTCTTAAGCACCTACCTGTGTACCAGGTACCCTGGTATGTATAAAGAAGACAAAGAAGCAATAAAGATGGTTCCCTCAAGGATTCTGCCAATTTACTATTCAACAAATGCTTACGAACATGCCTGGTAGCTGCTCTGTCATCTAGTCATTTCATAAGCATTTATTGAGCACCTTTTATGGGCCACAGACTGTGCTAGTTGCTGGAGAGACAGCTACCAGCCAGTCTGAGATGGTCCATGTGATATGTAAATAGGTGATTTATGAAATAATGCACAAAGTGTTATAATTAAGAATGTTTGAGGTGCTATGGAGTAAAAGGAAAAAATATCCAGCACTGCCTATGGGCTAGGAAGAAGGACAGGTAACATTGCAGTGGGTACAGAACACAAGGTAGTATGTCGATTTCAAATGCACGAGACAAAGGATTGGCACTATTAGGAGCTCAGAAAAAAGACGCATGAGAGTGGCCGGAAGCTGGGACCTCACTTGGAATTAAAATAAGCACAAGACTTGGAAACTCAGGAAGAAGGCCATCTAGAGAACTATTAAGAGTGGTGTGAAAGCACTTAGCATGTTCAGGGACTTGTGAGTAAACAAGCATGGCAGAAGCAGAGTCACTATGAAGGTGAGCAGAAGAAGATTTGAAAGGCCAGCGGGATTAGGGTCTGAACCTCAGGGAGTCAGACTATGGGGCTTGAACCTGGAGGGCATGGAAAACATCTTTCTCCCTCTACCCAGTAAGAGGAACAGAGGGCCACAGGGAAAGCTGAATTTTAGGAAAAGTGGGGTTGCTCCCTACAGGATGGGAGGTGGGGGGATTCTTGAGGAAAGGTTGGTTTGTAATTTATTGCTAAGAATCTAGGTATATAGTGACAAAACCAAATCCATTTGAGAAGAAAATACAAAGGAGAGAATGTGAAGGCAACAGGAAATTGATGGTTATCGTAAACAGAAACCATCATGATAATCACATAAATGTCTACTGTAAGGGAGAAGTAGAGAAGTAGTCAAAAATGAACTACAACATCCTACACCGAGTCTCCCGTAGCTCTATCTTACAGCCATCTATACCACTGATCAGGACACGAACATCATTTTTTGGCTGAATAGAGTAATAGTGATGATGATGATGATGAGAAATGGCAGCAGTTTTCATTGAGAAGCCAGGCACTGTACAGGGCACTTTACATGGATCACTTTCATTTGACCCTTACAGCGATAGGCTCTTTTTCCCATTTGGCACACAAAGACACTGAGACTCAGATTAAGCAATAGGGCAAAGGTACAGGGATAGGCGGTGGCTCTGCTCCAGTATGACTGCTCAATGTCTGCTTTACTCCAGCTTCTACAATCTCCTCTTACACAAAACAGCACACAGAGATCTAAGAGCAGATTCTGTTCTAAAATGGGACACATAGTTTTAGGCATGACTGATATACATATATATATTTTTTTTAGACAGAGTCTCGCTCTTGTCGCCCAGGTAGAGTGCAGTGGCACGGTCTCGGCTCACTGCAACCACCTCCCAGGTTCAAGCTATTCTCTTGCCTCAGCCTCCTGAGTAGCTGGGACTGCAGGTGTCTGCCACCACGCCATGTTGGCCAGGCTGGTCTCGAACTCCTGACCTCTGGTGATCTGCCTGCCTTGGCCTCCCAAAGTGCTGGGATTACAGACATGAGTCACCGTGCCCGGCCACAACTGATTCTTAAAAAGTAAGTTTATCAATTCAACCCAAAGTTCGGAAAAAACAATAGAGACATGCCTAAAACTATTATTTTAAAATCATAGTTTTAAATCAATCATTACAACATCATGAACAAAATGTGGATTATTTCCAAACACTGCCCGGCCTCAAACATGTCTTCACTTAGCTCACTCCAGTAGAAAGAACATTAAGAGCCATCAAACACACGAGCTTGTTTTTTTAATGTTGTAGGGGAGAGAGTTGGGAGTGGGGTTTACAAAGAGCATTAACTGACCCTAACTGACTCTACAAGATTTCTTTTTTATTAAAATTCAGCCCAAATTGAGAACAAATTCTGTCTTTTCTTCCTTTCCAACTCATCAAAGCCCAGTTCCTCAAAGCTTAATGTCCCACAAGTAGTTGTTAATGGGCTTCATTGTTTAGTTAATTGTGCTTATTGGAAGTGCAGGTGACTTCATATTTGCATGGCTAATGGGCCTTCTTTAAAGTGTGTGGCCATTTTAGTTGGCTTTTAATGGTCTGTATTGTTTTTTCCCAACTTTGAGTTGAATTGATAAACTTACTTTCTAAGAACCATCAATGCCTAAGACAAAAAGACCATTTTTTACTACATAGGGGACATCATTTATGTGAGTTTGAAGACAAATGCTTATTTGTAAGACAACATGATGTCAACAGTTAACCACCTTTCAAAATTAATTCAATACAATAATTATTAGACTTAATATTTGTTTCTCTGGAGGTGGTTTTGTAACAATAAAGAACTATTTTACCCTACCTCTTTATCCCTTGCAGAAATGGCTGGTTCACTTTTTAGCCACAAAACTCACATAGTTCCCACTCAACCAAAGAACTCATGAAAGACTACTTTCTTCCCTCTCTGGAAATGCATACTTACTACCTTGGCAGAGTATATCATACTTTCCTCATGATTTTCACAGGGTTTGTATATCCAAGTTGTAGACATGATGGGTTGACTTGCCCAAGATTGCCCAGCTAGTACATGGCTGAGAAGAGAATCAAATCTAGGTCTAACTGCAATTCCAGTGTTAAGCAACTTCAAACACTAACAAAGAGAACTACCATCTACTGTGTTGTGCTACAACAGGAGTGGCATGTCCAGAACTCTTTCAACAGGGAAAAGTTTGTTCACTCCTGATTTAGTCACTCAACAAACATTTACTAAGCAATAACTAAATGTTAGAGCTCTGATAGAAGCTTTATTACTACTAACAATCACGCCTAATATTTAGCAGTATTTACTATGTGCCAGGGGCTTTTTCTAAATTATTACCTTTAATCTTCTCAAAATCTCTGTGTGATGTTTGTGTATGGCTATGTGTGTGTGATATTCTGAATTCTCCAAACTTCACTTAAGGTCAAACATTAAGCTTGGAAGTTAGAATCTGGATTCTGGCCTATCTAAACCATGAGCCTATGTTCTTTGTATTGTATAACTTTGTAACTTATAGATAATGAAAAGCAATGCAAATAATTTTTGTCTACAGATGCAAATAAATTATGTCCAGTGGAGGTTCAATCGACTTCCCCTCCACTTTTGATCCATTTGCAAATTAATTTCAGCATTTTTTTATTCCATATAAATTCATGGTTCTACAAATCTGTTACAACAACTTTCTTGGTTCCCTCATTCATTAACAACCTAAGTAAATTTTCTGACAGGTGTTTGCATATCTGTATTTGAGTCAATTTTAAAAAAAATATTCTTTTGCAGAGGTTACGAAGATGCCATTTTTACTATCTTGAACCTCACACTTTCATTTGGGAGGGCATACATACCAAACTGTAATCAATGTGACCACAAATTATATATACCTATGTACATACTGGGGAGGGAGAATGGAGAAAGAATAAAGTGATTAAGAGGTCACTTCAGCAAACAGTGAGGTCACTTACAGAATCCACAAGACCTGGCTTTGGACCATGGCTTTCCCACTACCTGGGTATGACACTCTGGACAAGTTTACTAAACCTCTCAAAGCTTCATTTACCTCATCTATAAACTAGGGATAATAATAGTACTTGCCTCATAAGATTGACTATCAACACAAAAATTAAGTAACTATCTTTTTTTTTTCTTAACTGACGGGGTCTCTCTCTCTCCCAGCCTGGAGTGTAAAGGTGCGATCATAGCTCACTGCAGCCTTGAACTCCTGGGTTCCAGGGATTCTCCCACCTCAGTCTCCCAAGTAGCTGGGACTACAGGCATGTGCCACCACACCCAGCTTGTTTTTATTTTCTGATTTTTTGTACAGACAGGGACTTGCTATGTTGCCCAGGCTGGTCTCCAATTCTTGGCCTCAAGTGATTCTCCCACCTTGGTCTCCCAAAGCACTGGGATTACAGGTGTTAGCCACCATGCCCAGCTTAAGTAACTATTGCTTGTAAAGGGCCCAGTGCATATCGAATGCTCAGTAAGTGTTAGCCATCATTATTGAGATTCTTCTATGAGAAATATTGATGAAAGAAATTAGTTCTATTTAAAAATGGGTAGATCTTCACAAAAGAAGGTGCATTTTACCTGGGACTTGAAAGGTTAGGTCACCAAGCAAAGAACTGGAGTAATGTCATTAGACATAAAAGAAACAATTTAAATTGAAGAGGGAGAGAGTCATGAAAGGATCAACAAAGGTGAGTCATAGTGCCAAATTTACAAAGAGGTTAATTCCCAGGGGGACACTGCGTTTGTCAGGTGACCTGAATTTTTCTAAATTTGTTAAAGCTTGTGCCTCTCTACTTCACAGTTGTATGAAGATTACTAAAGCCAAATAGGAATGCATTATCCAGGTACCAATTTACATAAAAATCTAGACACCAAATCATCATGACTACAGTTGTGACTACTCACCAGTTCAAATACCCTTCAGGAATAAGTGGTTATTTTATTCTAAACTTTATAAGCAACAAAAAAATATGAGTTCAAAGTACAAACCACATTTTATACAGATCGAACTTTATACAACATACTTTAACAGTTAGCTCCCATTCAGTGTGTACGCATATGCATCCCTATACACACATGAAAATAACACACAAAGCCAATTACATCCTTGCTCTTATCCTGGACGTAACTGCTTTCTTTCTGTACCTGGTTATATGTCATTTCTACATTTTATTAGTCTTGTTATGGTTCACATCAAAATTTCCCCTGCTCTATTTCCAATCAATTGCTTTCTTGGATACTTTGGACAGGAGAATAAACTTCAGATAATTCTCAATTCTGTGTCAACATTTGCTAAAAGTTTACTAGAAACTCTTAATGCACCATGTTTGCATAATCCCATCTGTTTGCTCCTTTTTATTCCTTCATATGCTCAAGTGAATGCTAAACTGTAAAAGGCCCACTATCTATACATATGAGTTCTACAAAGTTGCCTACTGTAGAGACTTGCAGGTCTCCTATAACTCAGGAATATCAACTGTCTCTGTTAAGAGCAATGATGGATAAGATGGAAAAGATTTAACTTTCAATTTTGGGCAGGAAGATTACTTCCTCAAAAAGCCTTCTCCTAAAAACAAAAACAAAAACCTCACAGGTACTCCCTGTGCCCTACTATTAGAGCTCATCCCAGCTCTAGTCTCTGGAGGTTCTGCCCTGTGATTGTTTCAAGCTCTCTTCCTCATGAAGAGGTGCACACGTGACTGCCGCCATCGATAAAGGCTGAAGTGAGTGTACTTAGCTAAAGGGCATTGCAATAATTTTTCTCTTCCACGTGAGAAAGTTAGCCTTGAAAATTCTCTGGCTCACTGCTTGTTTTTAAATCATCTTTTGGGGAGGGGTGGCCAAGGGGGCATGTTAAGTTCAAATCAGCCCCTCTTCCCACTCCCATATCAATTGCTTTTTTAAAATAATAATAAGATAGTAGCACCTATCAAGCCTTCAGATTTGCTTTGAAGACAGTGCTAATGACTCAACATTTTAATGGGCAATGCCCCCCAATGTCCATTGTAGGAAAGCAGTCCTCGCTGATAGATTAAATTTGATTAGCACTGGGGCTGGCGCTGTTCCGTGGAGGCAATGTGATTCCTGTAGGAATCTAGGGTGAATGGTAGCCTGAGAAACAGTCAGTGAAAAGATTTATAATCTCCAACAACAAATCAGCCCCTGGTTCCAAAGAAATCATTGTGTCTTTCCCACCCCTGCTGTAGCATGTCATCTATACTAGGAAACACACTGAGTATCTTGAACCCATTTCAATGACTGCAGCAGGACTAGAATATAATTTTTCTTTGTTTGCCCTGACTCTTAAATGTTTGCTTCCAGAGCCAAAGCCCGTCAGTACTCCCATTATGGCCTTGCAGAGGGGATGTGAGAATAGTCAGGAATTTTGATGGGAGTTTACCACAGCAAAACTTCCCAGAGCACTGGTGGCAATTTAGGAAGCAGGTAATTTTTAAAAGCACTTGGCCTGAAGGGTATGGACAAGTTCACACACACATTTGATGTTTCCACGGCTTGCACGGCTGAAGAAATGAGCTATTTCCATTCTCCTCTCATTCCGGAGTGAAAGAGTAAAACCTCAGCCAGGTCTGTCCGGGACACTTTACTAACCAGAAAGCACAGCCTGGGGAAAAAATGCAATAAAATCTCCCGCCAGGTCCAGTTCAGGCCCCTTCATGATGAGAGGCCAAACATCAGGAAAATTTGGTAGCAGTAATGCTGGGTTTCTGAGTTACAGTGTTTTCTCACAAGTGATTGAGTATAATTCACTCAACTTGTTCTATGCAAACTGGACTTGTGTTTAAGTCCCAGTTAGGACTTAAACCCAAAGAAAGTTAACTACTTTGCCCCTCTGACCTGCCTGCTATTCCCTTCCATCTTTATCATGTATATTGGTAGAATCTTTCATACTTTTTCAAAAAGTTGACTCATACATAATTTCAATTCATTCTCATCTTATCAGTAAAAAGGGCATTGTAATTATTCCCATTGGAGTCTAAGAACAAGAAGGGTTGAGTGACTTGTTCATGGCCAATGTTAGCAGCAGAACTGGATCCACACTCTATACTTCCTAACCCCCAGTAATAAAAATAATCACTAACATCAATGAACACTATTCCCACGCTTAGGCACCATGCCAAGCACTTTATGAACATTACCTCATCCATTCCTTGAGAGAACCCTATAAGGTAGGTATTATTAATCCCATTTTACAGATGAGAAATACTGGACTTACAAGGTTACATAATTTCCCCATAGTCAGAGATGCTATAAATCATGAGGCCTCTGTTATAAGAGGAATAGAATTCCTCAGCTTACCTATAGTCCCTCCCTGTCCAATGCTTTTGTCTACACAAACTCAATGCTAAGTTGAAAAATTGTAAGTTTTCTCCTGATTTCAAATAAATTCCTTTTAAAATATCTAATAAATTTATGAATTCTAGTTTGGTCCATTTTGATACTGTCAAAAAGAAAACACACTACAAACTGAAAAGTGCTGTCTTTTGTCAGGTGTTTTTACTGATCCAAGTATTATTTGCTTCTATCTCTTATTTCGTTTAAAAGAAAAACAGATGGTTTAATATAAATTCCTGCATGAAGTTTTCTAGACTCCCCAGCAAACTTTATGAGCATAGTAAGTTCTAGAGACAAACAGCATGGATTTAAATCCCAAATACACAAACGGACAACCTCTGGAATATGGGCAAGTTACTCAACCTCATACTTCAGTATTCTCACATCTGTGTTAGGGGTAAAAATACTTCATAAGGATGTTATGAAGAAGAAGTAATGAGAATGCACTGAGCACGGTATAAATGACCCATAATTACTGGAATTGTTTTGTTGTTTTTCTGCCTCTGCAAAATTTCTCAGGATTGCCCTAATTTCACTAGGTTGAAAAAACCTGAACACACTCCTTGATGAAGTGTTCCAAATACAGGTCTCTCATAAACAGATAATAAAGCATCCTACACCCTAACTGGGAAAAAAATCATGTCATTTTACACTTCATAAGTCAATTCCATCTCTTAAAATTATTATTCATCCGGTACTATTAAAACTGTCATCTTCTATAGCACCTCAGTACTCCTATCAGATAGGTAGGTGTTCTTGAACACAATGTCCTGCGTTAATCTGGTCAAACAGGAGCCATCTGCGAAGCCAGAATGGCAAGGGACAAGCAAATTTCCCCGATCCACAAACGGGAGTTTCCCCAAAATATAAGAAGTTTTATTTTTACTGTGAAAATGCTTTTTTTACCCTAGTTATGTAATATATGCTTACTAAAGTTAGGGATAATTAACGTTAGTAAAATTAAGAATATGTATATAAAAAGCAAAGAAAGATGAACCCATAATTCTGCCTCCCAGAGATAGCTACTAGTAACATTTTGGTATCTTTCCATTTCATCTTTCTGCTATGCATTTTAAAAATATAATTGGAATCATTCTGCATGCAAAATGTTATATTCTGGGTTCTCTTTCTTTCTGTTTTTGTTTTGTTTTGTTTCGTTTTGTTTTTTCTCTCTCTCTCCGTTTAGACCATTATAACGTCAGCATTTTCCATGTTACTGCAGACTCTTTATAAACGTTTTCACTGGCTGTGGGATATTTCACAGGTTAGTTTTGTCACAATTTTCTTAACCATTTCCCTTTGCTATACCCCCCAAAGGCTTTTAAGCTGTCAGGCCCAGACAAGATTTCTAGACACACAGCCCTAAGGATGGGGCCTGCCTGTGGTCATAAACCAAGCCATTTTGGGAACTAGGTACATCACTTTTCACGATAGGTAAGAATCACCATGAGTCCTACTCTTCAAATGCCAACAGACCCTGAGTCCAGTGATGTGTGAACCCCAAATGCCAGTAGTTCTGGTCAACAATTACAGCAACTCCTCTAGGATAAATAAAATAATGTTCTCGACAGGCCCGGCCACCCACGGTGAGCACAGGGAAGAGCACAAACACCTCCCACCCACCTCTGCTGCCTGTGTTCCAATGCAAACCAAGGGTGCAGATGTGAATTCCTTCTTTTCTCCTCTTGCCCTACTCAGTTTATTTCCAAAAATCACTGTTCCATCACCACTCAACACCATTTGCCATGAACTGCACCATAAAACACACTTTTTAAATAACAGACCACGTTCATTATATTTTCTTTTTTAAAAAAGAAGGCAGAAGGGCAAGCATTAGGTAGAAAAAACAATGTAGAACTTGCAATAGTCATAGACTGTAACACTGAAATCAGAAATCACAATTACCAAGGCTCTTTTAACACCCTCATGCACATGTATGACCATCATCTAAAAATCCAAGATTCAAAGCTAAGTCTTTGAATTTAAAAATGGTTGTGTGGTCTTACAGAACAACTTCTAAGTTGCATTTGCATTTCTTATGGTTCAAACAAACAAACAACAAACACGAATTTTTGTTTTAAGCAGTTAAAGGTTAAGCAAATACAAAAGAGCATTTTTGCACTTCTAGGCACAGTAGCTGGAATTTTGAAAATCTTCACCGTTCCTGTTAAAATAAGATTGAGAAACAGGAAAGAAACTGCTTCAAGTTGAAAGTCAGGATGGCTTAATGGAAAACAATGGGCTTTGTCAGGATAAGAGCTGGGCCTGAATTCTGATTCAAGCCACATGCGGGAGGGATAAGCAGCCACTTCAAAGGGTTCTTTGAGTGTTAAACATGGTACCTACAATGCCAAGCACCATCTCTGGCACAGAGAGTGTAAGGATTGCAGAATTATTGTCAACAAGAAGAAAAGCCTATACTGCAAGGAGGAGGAAGCTGTCAGGGAGTCATATTGCACTGACAATTTATGAGTGTAAATAATCGTAAGCATAAGGTCAAGGACCTAGAGATTAAGAACCTAGGACTATTGCTTCTTTTTGTTAACTTCATGAAGCAAACCAAGAACTGAGAACAAAAAGTACACTCTTCCTAGACTTCTTGGTTTGTCTTGAGGCAGCCTGCCCAATTTAGAGTCCTTGGGTACTTTGTGAATTTCTCAGCAACTGCAGAGACTGGTTCTCCGCCCTCATGTCAATCCCCTACACAGAGCCGTGGCAACTTTATGCCCATCACTCAGTTTAGTCCAAGGCCAGGCTCCTAAACCCACCCTGATTGTAGGTGGCACTCAGAAAAATCCTAATGCAGGCTTCACACTGCTCAGAGACAAGTCATTCTGCTTGTCTGCCACTGCTTGTGTTTCACTTCAATTCTAGTAAATGGGCTTCTGCCTCTTTCCTGTTGTTAAGCTTTGCTATCCTACCACAACTCCAGGGACTGCAGTATGTCCTTGTCCTGTTCCTTGAAGGGTAGTCTCCTGTTTTAAAATTTTTGCTCTGAAACTCCAAAATATCCATTAGATGTTTGCCACTTGCTCTGCATTTTAGAGGTTGTTTTGTTTCATTCTGAGATAGAGTCTCACTCTGTTACCCAGGGTGGAGTGCAGTGGCACCATCTCAGCTGCAACCTCTGCCTCTCAGGTTCAGGAGATTCTCGTGCCTCACTCAGCCTCCCAAGTAGCTGGGATTACAGGGGCCTGCCACGACGCCCAGCTAATTTTTGCATTTTTAGTAGAGATGGGGTTTCACTGTGTTGGCCGGGCTGGTCTTGAACTCCTGACCTCAAATGATCTGCCTACCTTGGCCTCCCAAAGTGCTGGGATTACAGGCATGAGTCACCATGCCCAGCCTGCACCACATTTTCTTTGGGTTAGAAGATCCCCACGTGTGTCTGTCCTTAGGCCTGACGTCACATGCTGGCTTCTCTGACATCAGTTCTCTAAGTACACTGCTCATTGTGATTTCTTGTCCTCTCCAAACCCACAATTCACACCAGCCCCAAATGCAGATAGTCTCCCAGATTCCACAGCTGTGCTGGTTTAGACTATTCTGTCTCCTCCACCATTTCCCAGATGCCATGGTATATGAAAGCAGAATTACCATCATCTACTTAATTCACCCCACAGGACAAACTATTCTCACTCAACTACAAATTATTTTCCTAATGTTGGACTTTTTTTCTTCCTCCTCATGGAAACTATTTTAGTCCATGTCCTCTGAACTGGTCACTCAGCCAGGACTCAGTCCACTTGACAGTCCAGGCACCCCAAACACCACCTCAACACTGTGACTCTCTTGCTATAGTGATATCAAGATACCCCAAATCACAGATTTGTGGCACCAGAAAGCAGTTTTAGAAACTTACTTTATATCTTACAGATAAGAAAATGAGACCCAGATATTAATATCAAAGTGTGAGTCAGTGGCAAGGCTGAAACTAGGAATTTTCAGACCTAGAGTACTTCAGGCTACTGTTCACATGGTTCTTAGATGAGTGACATGGTTTGGCTGTCTCCCCACCCAAATCTCATCTTTAATCGTAGCTCCCATAATCCCCATGTGTCATGGGATGGACCCAGTGGGAGGTAACTGAATCATGGGGGCAGGTTTTTCCCGTGCCCTTCTCATGATAGTGAATAAGTCTCACAAGATCTGATGGTTTTATAAAGGGCAGACCCCCTGCACATGCTCTCTTTCCTGCCACCATGTAAGACATGACTTTGCTCCTTCTTCACCTTCTGTCATGATTGTGAGGCCTTCCCAGCTGTGTGGAACTGTGAGTCCATTAAACCTCTTTTTCTTGATAAATTACGCAGTCTCAGGTATTTCTTCATAGCAGTATGAAAATGGACTAATACAATGAGTATGTCTATGAACCAATGAAAAAAACAAATCCTCTGCACATTCCCCTGGAATCTCAAATTCTTCATTCCAGCCCAGTCTCCACATATTTTTTTAATACTCCCATACTGACATGTTCTTTTAGGAAATCTCTTTCTTCCACAGGCCAAAGATTCCTCAAGGTAGAGAAAATCTTTTCCTTCTTAAATTTTTCCACTCAGTTTTAGATGTTCAGCTGAAAGTTAATAGCCTTGAGTGTTCCTTCTGTAATTCCATGACTTACGAGAGTGAGGTTTCCATTTGCCACTCTCTCCTGCATTATCATCAATCCCTGTAGCCTTTCAGTGGAAAGTCCGGGAACTAATAATACAAAGAATTTTAAGTAACTTCAGCCTAAAAGCTTAGAATGCTTGAAATGTAAGGATCCTTGGAGACCATCTTCTCTAACCAGTATTAGTCTCATTTTACAGACTAAGGAATGGAGGCCTACACCATTTGACTCTTAACCCAATATGCTCTTCTCCATGCCATTCCCCAACCTCCAAACAATGAATTCCTCCATATTTGTTTCTGAGTGAAGATGTCATCCTAGGTCATGCTTCTCTATAGAATCTCAATCAGTGGAACTATCCCAAAAATATGTTTGTGGGTCTGGATTGCATTTACCTCATGCTTCTTCATGACTTCAATTCCACATGGTTTTATCATGAACATTGTTTGGAAAAGAAAATAAAATAGTCAAATCCAAACCTTTAATCCACAAGTCTGTCACTGCTTCCTTGACAGATTAGCATGGCCTATAGATTCAGGCAAAGTTGTGTGTCATTGACAAGCTGTAAAACCCAGGTCACCCTTGGCAGCCTCTTTTAGCCTTGGTTTTCTTATCTGCAAAATGGGAATAACACCACTCACTTCCTAGGGTTATGATATAATATATTACAACAATTAACACTTGGCTTGGTACACAATAAGCATTCAATAAATGGTAGCCATATTATTTATTATCATTACTATTATTATCATTTCTGTAGATTTTGCCTTGTCTGCCTTGGCTCTTTTTGACTGGTCTCCTTGTTCTAACTTAAGCCATATG
Organism: Homo sapiens; assembly: GCF_000001405.40. Lineage (NCBI taxonomy): Eukaryota > Metazoa > Chordata > Mammalia > Primates > Hominidae > Homo > Homo sapiens. The sequence goes on from NC_000011.10 coordinate 30,556,879, forward strand.
ACCCTATAGGCCAGAAAATGTAAGAAGAAAGAGAAGGGATTCCCCAAAAGCAGTGTTGAACCAAGTTAGGGCAATAAGATGAGGAAAAGATCATCAGAATAAAAAAAAATCAAAATCATAAGGGGGTTAGTTTTACACTCTAGGCTATCACAAATTTTGCATCAAGACTGATACATTGGGCATTACATTGAAACATTTTCCCCCATAATGCATTTATGAGATTATCATTTCAATTTTGTTAAACAGTGCTAGATTCAGTTTGTTTGTGTGCCTGGCACATAGCAGGAATTCAATGAGCGAATGAATAAAAGAATGACTGTGCCAAATAAGCAAATTATATATATATAATATATATATCAAAACTCTGAAACAGCTGTATTTGCTATTTCATTTATAAGGTTAAAGTAAGTTTTAGAATATTTCTATCTTAACTGGAGATATCAATTAAAACGCTTTGTTGGAGAAAATGTATCATTTCCTATAATGCAAAATATAAGAATTCAAATATACTTTGGAAATTTATAGGTATTTTCATTTATTCATGACTCATGATAGCTCGAAAGCAGCTATTATGTCAAGGCAAATTATTAGCTCTCACTATTGTATAATAAACAGAGCTATAATTCATGTTTATTTACAAATATTCTTTCTAGTTATGAGATTTAGCACATGTCCATCCATTATGATTGTTAGTTTCCTTTTGTTTTCTTTTAAGGAAAGGCTACTGGCTAAATAACCAATCAATAAACATCTCTAACCAGCTACCTTGGTGCTGTTAACAATGGAATGTGCAATTATTTCCGTCTCCCATATTCCCATTTATATAGAATGATCTGGATCAACTGCTGGGTCAACATTCTGACAGTCAGTCCAACATATTTGAAGATAAGTGAAAAGTTGCTATAGTAATATGTATGTGAGAACTCTTCATGGCAATGACCATGAGGGATCCAATCAAAGAAACATTAGCCTGGTAAGAAGAGCCTCATGGTCAGAGGGAGAAAGTCAAATGTGAGAACTCACTAATGAATTTTATTCCTTGGGCGTGTTGAACTGGAACCTAAGGGCCTTGCTAGGAAGATATAAATAAATACGAGTAAAGATAATGTCTGTGGCTGGAAAATATGAAGAACTCTTTCTTTATGTGCCCATGACCTGGCTCCAAGGACAATCCTCAAAAAGTGGTTTCACAATTGTTTTCAGTGATATTGGTATTGCAGGAATTGGTCAACCAATAGAACATGCACACACACATATACACACACACACGTATATATTTTGTATGTATTTTATTATTATTATTTTACCTATTCTGGTAAATTTATTAAAAAGAAAGAAAAGTCTGGCTGAGTGGTTTATAGTCACACTTCAAACCCAATAGTCGTTCTCATGCTGAAATTCTGGGATCATCCTATATCTTTCTCTTTCCTCAAAAGCTATAGTTCAGCTATTCCCAGGTAAGAACTGCCTTACTTATATGTACTTTGTAAACTTTTTTCCCCTTTTTCTTTCTCTTTCTTTTGCTTCCTTCTTTTTTTTTTTATTTTTTATTTTTTGAGACAAGATCTTGCTCTGCCACCAGGCTGCAGTGCAGTGGACTGATCACAGCTCACTGCAGCTCTGGCCTGCCAGACTCAAGCAATCCTCCCACCTCAGCCTCTCAAGTAGCTAGAAATACAAGTATGTGCCACCACACTCAGCTTTTTTTTTTTTTTTAATTTTTGATAGAGACAGGGTCTTGCTATGTTGCCCAGGGTAGTCTCAAACTGCTGGCCTCAAGTAATAACCCTGCGTTGGCCTCCCAAAGTGCTGGGATTACAGGCAGGAGCCACCTTGCCCAGCCCTTCCTTCTTTTCTTCCTTCTTCCTTTTCTCCCTCCCTCTTTCCTTCTTTCTTTCTTTTTTTTTTTCTGGCTTGGGAATACACTAAAATTTGAAGAGAAAAATTGAAAGCAGAAAAATGCTTTGAGTCACAACCAATTCTTTTCAAATAGTCCACAAACCTGGTCCTCCTCATTTGGACAATTACAGCCAAAAGAAGGATCTAGTTTCAAAGTGCAGCTGCTCATTTGAAGTGGGATAAGCATGGTTAATTTTTTCAATGAAAAAATGGTGATGAATGGAATAGAAAATAAAGATATCTTTAAAGCTAGACCAAAGAAAAAGTTGTTTTAACTCCAGAAGGTCATCAATTTGGAAATATTATCCAGAGAATTTTTCAAATCACAGAGAAGAGCTTCCAGGAAATCTTAAATGACTACTAATGAAAAGTATTCCTTAGAGTCCAGTTGAAATAAAAGTCACAATAGTCACATATGTAATTCTATGCCCTAAAACACCCAGCTGCAGGGGAATCTATAGGAACCCAACGGGATCCCAGTGTTCACAATTATCTTCTTTGTAAACCACAGAGCAATAGTAACAAAGGTCTTTACAACTTTTATTAATAAAAATGTATTGTAAATTGCAATCATATTTAAATTCTTATGACTTCATAATATTATTTTGCAAACTAAAACAAAAAAATGATCTTTAAAACCATAGTTAATTGTGATCACATGAGTATTTTGCTTTGTGGAAATTTATTGCATGAACATGCTTAATTTGTATACATTTTAACTTGCATGATGTGTCAATTAAAAGCTTACTAATTAAAAAGAAACTATACTCAATCTTCTCCTTCCGAATGAAATGTTTTTCCTAGATACATTCTTTTAAATAATATGGGAACACAAAATTGCGTATCTCCTTCAAAGTCTTATAGAAAAAATTATAAGCTATGTTTGAAAGTTATTTTTTTAATTTTAGTTTTTAAATATAATTTCAAAAATAAATTATTTTTATTCCATGTGAGGCATACTAAATTTAATACCTCTCCAAATAACCAAAGGGCATTTTGTATCAAGCACCTACACTGTGTTGGTATATCATTATGACTGGCATGCCTTTTCTTTTTGAAAATAGTCTTCACATGTATTTCCTTTTTGAAAATAGTCTTCACATTATGCCCTATTTTGAAAATAGTCTTCACATTATGCCAAAGGGCATAATGGGCACTATAGCTGCCTGTTGCCTTGTGGAGTTTTATCAATAATGTAGCTAATAAACAGATGTTTTGTGGGTAACCACACTGTGTTATAGGTTATCTAAGAACTCATACCTTTGCTTTGACTTCCACCAGCATTCACGAATTAAGAAAACCTCAGGGGAGAGGGGAGGTGTTGTATGAAATACAGCATTCTCATTTGTCACCAAAATTACTGACTTTTGAAGTCAGTAATTATTTTTATTGTGTTTATTTGTTTTCAAGAAAATAAGTGGGAGAATCTTACAATGACTTCTGAGTCCTCTGTCTTAAGGATACCTCTTAAAGGGTCAATTAAGATATGTATTTCATAGTAGTTGCTTAAAAGATGACTAACAAGTTTTTTTTTTAAAAAAAAAAAATATGTTAACCATTTTCTGTGGCCAACTGCCTGAAAAGCTTCAGATTGCTTTATATTTCCAACCAACACTGACTGGCATTTACTCTTAGTAAGCAGAAGTTGTCACAAACGACAGAAAGTGATTAGCAATCACTTGCTACACGGCATGAGATAGTCTTAAAACTCCCATTTACCCCCTACTGAACCAATATCTTAGCTTATTCTAGAGGACATGAACAAGTATTTCTCTAGCAACTAACATAAGTGAAAATACAAGCCCTAGCTCCGTAGAATGCCACAAATTTGGTCACAAAGGAAAATGAAAGCAAGCACCCTAATACTAACTCAAGACACTTTACTTGGAGAAAAACAGCCTGCATCCCATAACATTTTATGATACCAAATGAGATGCAGGCAATGTAATTTCACTTATGTGATTCACTTACAGGCGATGCAAATGCAATCTTGCTGATTACATTTAAAACAAAGGACTGAATCTGCTTATTTATAGAGCAGGCCCATAGTCATGCAAAAATCATGCTACCCCCCACCTGGTGTGGAAGAAAAAGAAAACAATCAGGCTGAAGACCTTTACATCTCCACAGAAAGAAAAATGATGTTAACGTGAACCCTGGGTTGACCCAATATGCTTAACAACGTGGCTTCTTGGTGCCCTGAATAGAAAACAAGGTCAACTGTGTGAGTAATCGTTAGCTGAGGTGTTCAACCCACATGCAAACATGTCCAATGTTTTATTTGTTTTTTAAATAGCCAAAAGGAGTGTTCTGCAAGCATTTTCATCTATGTTTAATTTTAAACCTTCATGTGGGTGTGCATATACACACACACACACTTATTTCAATATGGACTGCATAGATATATAATTTCTACAGTGAAATAAATACTGCTACAGCCAGTATATTCACTAGTTGGACTCTGCACAATGTGTATTTTATGAACTTCTCTGCCTACTAAGTTGGGGTCTTGAGCATTCCAGAGCCACTGTTTTTAATCATCACCAAAAACTAGAGCTTTTATTAGATAATTTCCTCATTATGAAGTTCAATAGTTCAACTTAATGTGAAGTTCAACAGTCTCAACTAAATGTGAATGTACTGCCAAATGCCATCTCTGAACTTCCCAGAAAAGCAACAGAGCTGGAAGAATTCTAGTATGTCCTGAGATGCTCAGTTTTTAAAGGTCTAACAGGTAATACTGGCTCAATGCTGGCAAATAAACCAATGCCCAGCCACCAGCCACTGTGCCAACATCCTAGGAGTCTGGCTGCAGCCTTACTGATAGCTAGATCGTAGCAACCTAGGCAAAGAGGGTTATTATCAAAGCCAACTTGGGCCCAGCTGCAGTCCAACATAAAGAAGTTTAATGTGATACCTTACACCTGCCACCCCACATTTTCCAAAAGGAAAATTGCCTGTGGCTAAAAGTGCTCCTTGTGGAGCAACCTGTGACCACAGGGTTTCTCAACCCTAAAGAAGAAGATGCACTTCAGTAGCCTACCAAGTGATGCCAACACCAATGATAGAGAACAGAAGCAATTTTCTGTGCAGTAACACCACTTCCTTTTGGTCAGAGACATCATTTACAAACAGTAACCTCTGTGAACTTCTCAAAAATGGTGGTGCCTTTGAAGTTACCCTTGATCTTTGATACTCGACCATAGTCAGATCTGAAAACCACACTCAAACTGAGCTTTGTAAAATGTACTGGGTTGAAGCATCCCACCTTTCATCTTCATGTCTCCAAATGGAAAAGACCTAGAAGCATATAGGTTTGCTCATTTCCACACACAGCAAGCAGTGGGCCAGAAACCACCTAACTTGTTTGAAATGTAAGCCATTATCCAAGCCACAGCATATGGCCACATACTTCTCAACTCCCACAACCAAGCAAAAATGCAATTGCTGTCCAAGTGTGCACAGGCTCTGAATAGGAAATGGCAGTGGTTTCTGGAGCCCATAAGGCCAGAAGATGCTGCCAGACTTGAGAAGAACCAAAGGACAAAAGAGTGGTAGAAACAGGAGGACATATTCTGAAATGAAAGTAATGTGTGATCTTCCAGGGCAGAAAATAGCTGCTCCTGTTTATTTTAAACTGCTTTCCATCACAGGCTGCCTCCTACGGGAAGCCTACCTTCTTTCACGTTTGGGAGAAGAATCAAACCTGATGCATGCCTACAGGGAAAAACTAGGAAATAACATTGTAAAGCATTTCAGTAGAACTAAGGCAGACGCCCAAAAAATCTTATTTTAGACATGTTCTTGAATTCTTCCTTGCTTCTCCTACTCAGTTAGCATTTATTGTGCCCCAAACTGTAAGTTCCTTAGGCACCTACAGCTTATTAAGGGTCATAAAGAGTCACATTCTGTACTAGAAACCAGCAGTTCTGCTTGACCTTGAGCACATCACTCAACCTCTCTGGGCTGCCAGTAGGCCATACGTAAAATTCTCTACTTCTGTTTCCTTCACAGTGAGTACAGCACAAAAGTACTTTAAGAACCTTGATATTCTATTACCAATAATGCACACATGATTATTTTATTAAATATTATTTATTTCAGATGCATTTGATTGTCTCTGTAAACAGGCAAGACACGCTAGCAGACAAGGATTGGGGGTTTATGGTTCTATATTATCCTGACTGCTAAACCAAATAAAACATTCCTTCATTAATTTGTTCATCAATAATTATTTATGCATCAGGCACTGTACTATGCATTGGGGATAAAACGAGAAGCAAAACAACCAGGATCCCTGCATCCCATGCTACTTCTAATAAATACTTATTGATTTACTGTAACATTTTCAATGACACCCAGCTTCCCCCAGACATCCCACTCTCCTTGCTCATTTCCTCCCTCCCTGTCCTATAGATCAGCAGTCCCCAGCCCTTTTGGCACCAGGGACAGGTGTGGTGAAAGACAGTTTTTCCACAGATGGGGGTATGAGGGGGTACGTTTCAAGATGAAACTGGTCCACCTCAGATCATCAGGCATTAGATTCTCATAAGGAGTAAGCAACGTAGATCCCTCGTATGCACAGTTTACAATAGGGTTTGGGCTCCTATCAGAATCTAATGTCGCAGCTGATCTGACAGGAGGTGGAAGTCAGGCAGTAATGCTGGCGCAGCTCACCTCTACAGAATACCCAAGGTAGCCTCAATCACTTAGTGCCAAAAAATGAGAGCTCCCAACAAACCATTCTTAAGGTATTGATAAGTAAGTGACAGGAGATAGTAGGGGCAATTTCAGCAAACTGTAAGGAGGGACACTGAAGCAAGCATGATAGGCCATTAACTAGTGCTTAGGTAAGCATGTTAGTAGCAGAGGCAACTCTAAAGAGGGTGGGGAGATTCTGAGTTCAGAGAGAATTTACTGTGAGGACAAAATGACAGGAGAAATACATATTGAAGACTGTTTATTGATTTGTCAAAGATGAATTTGTTACTGAATCATGGACAAGGCAGAGGATTCAAGATCAGCCAGCATCAATCCTGCCCTTATAGGGCTTCCAGTCTAGAAAGGGCAATATTGCTATGTGTGGGTATCCCCTTATAGGAGCGAATGTACATGTCAAAATGGAGGTAACTTGTGCTGGGAAATTGATGGATTTAAGTCATGAGACACTGTGTAAGGCTGATCTTTTGATCTTTCTCCCACATGCTTCTTTGTTCTGGGAACAGGCCTTGAGAAACAACTGGGAAAAGGAAATTGACAAACTCTTTCTTCTACTCTGGCTAGAGGAAAGCTAACTCCCTCTTGCTACTATGTCTTAACCTTTTCTCAAGATCTCATGTTTATCTCTGTGAGTCACCTGGGCTGGCAAGATACACATCTACTAAGCATTTTGTATTTTTAGTGGCTTCTTCTAATTGACCCCAAGGTAATCATTCCCTGACTTTGTCTGCCCTCAGCTTTCATGTATATCTATCCATTCAAGCAAACATAGGCTTATAAATTCAGGCTCTGGGTGTTCTATACCTAGTCATGCCCAGCTGCACTGGAAGGTCTTCTACCTCTGATCATGACGATAACACCAAATGAAACACTTCTATAGAACTTACTACGTCCCCAGAAAATTTGGTAGGTACTATACTTAAAGCAGTTGATTTAACCTTTGCAATGGCCCTTTGAGAAAAGTACTATTTGCTTCCCTCATTTATGGATGAGAACACAGAGAGGTCACATTTATGGATAAGAACACAGAGAAGTCAAGTAACTCACTCAAAGTTGCACAGAGAGTAAGAGGGAGACCAAGATTCAAACTTTGGCAGTATGCTTCTGGAAACCACGTTCTTAAACACTATATTGCTTCCCTGTCTCCTCAGGCAATGAAGCTCAGAAATATATTTTCAGACCCTTAGGCATTTATTACAAAACTATTTATTGAAGCCTTATATGTTAAACTCGACTACATGTTCTTAATTTACTGAGCATTCACACTTATTTTAAAAAATCTAACCAAGAGACCAAAATGAGGGAGAGAGTCCTTGAAACAAATGCACTCAATTCTATGTGCATGGAATGCATTCATGCCCCCCAATCTGACTCCATGTGTGAGCAAACAAGATACATAAATCTGAGTAGCGTGGCTGTTCATGTAAACAATTCAGAACCTTATCATTCCTCTCTGAACTGACTCCAATTCATCAAAAATGTAAGAGTGAGTTATATATGACATCCTCCATTAACTGAAACACACCAATAAATTTCCAAAATGTAGGACTCAGCACCAAAAAGAAAAAAATGGGTAGAGAAATCCCCACATATATTGTGGAACTCCGTGCAGCCTGTGTCTCCCCTGTGCAGTCTTGAATCATGCATAATGCAACACCGCAACTGCTAACAGCAGGCGCGCACCAGATAATTTACACTTGTTTTTATGGACGCGAGGAACTGATCTTTGAAGCTGTCCCTAATGAGATTCCGCTTGGCCCTAACAGCATCCTGAGAGAGTGTTCCGGTTTTCTACTTGGCATCCGGTGCATATTTATAATGCAGAATACAGGCTCATTTAAATTGCGCATGTGGATTTTGGTGTCTTCCCTATTTTAAAGAAAGATTTTCATATACTAAGGAGCACTGACTCCTCAATTACTAAACCATAATTTACCTAAACAATGTCACTGCCAGCCCTACAGGTACTTATCAAAGACGTAGGTCCATCAGAGCCCCTTTACCTACAGGGCAAAAAGCTCCTCCAGCTCCAACCCTGCACTCAAGTCCAGAGACTCAATTAGGTCTTCAGCCAAAGGTCATCTCCAGAAAGTCTAATTATACAACACCTTCCTTAGTAGACACAGCCACAGGGAAAGTTAGAGAGAAAACCTGAAGTCAGTCATCTAAATTAAAAACTTCCTGCCCCAAAAGTGCTTGTGATACAGACTTCTCTTTCTTAGTATCTCCCCTCTTTTAATTTCTGTGCCATGTAAAATTTTCTTAAGCCTGGCAGTTTACAGCAGGATCTTTTCCTGATCATTTGCTTTTCAAGGTGTTGACAGTTTAGTCACCCACAATTAGAACTCCATTGCATACTTACTTTGAATTTCCTTTGTTTTACCTTTAAGTCAATGTTTTTAAGAATGGTTTTCAACCACTGCCATACCAATACTGTTATGACGGTGTTATCTGTATTTAACCCAAATCACAGATTTTTGTCAAAAAAGTTGTTCTGTAAAAATTTTAAGAGTTTACTATTAAAAAAAAAATGTAGAGTTGTTAAACATCAGAGTACAGAATAAAAACTGGTTCGCCTTATTCAAAACGCATGATTCCCATGATGACAGATGACCCGTTTTCATGGTCTTCATTTCAAGTAAACTCCACATATTAGGAGCAGTTGTCACGTTCCAGGTAAGTGGGCTGAAATATATCTTAATTAATTTAATGCTTCTGACCGATAATTGTTGACTCCAAATATGATCAATAAGTGAGCACTTTATAAGGAGTTAAAACAATATACTTTCCGATGCCTCCATTTTAAAATTAAAGAACAATATAGAAAACCCAAATCTCTAGGGTCACATTGAAAGTGGAAGCTTTGATATTTTTTCCTATGTTAGAAATGAGAGTTTACTACTGTCAAAGCAAAAGTCAACTGAAGGCAGAGATGATAGCATTAGTGTACGAGTATCAGAAATACTCACTCTGAGCTTCATCCAGCTCCATCCTGAAAAAAACACGGGAGACTTACATAAGTTACCCTTTTTAAAGCCAAGTACACCCTCAAGTCTACATACATGCTCTCAAAATGAATGAGTGATTACAAGGCAGCACTCACTTCCTGGGGAAGCACATGTTAATTCCTCGAATCCTTGCAAACTCAGCTTTCATTCATTCATTCATTCAACAGGTGTTGACAGAGTCTCCAGAACATGCCTAGCATTGTGATAGGTGTTGTGAATACAGACAGCAAAAAATAAATAAAACGAAAAAGATAAGGTCACTGCCCTCATAGAGCTTATATCCTAGTGGAAGACACACATTTCACCAACAATTCAAGAATATATTTAAGATAAGTGCAGCCAAAGGACAGTATCACTCACAGGTTCTGGGAGTATGTATAAGGGGACACCTAATCCAGAGAGAAGGACAGGGGCTCCCTAAAAAGGGGACAAAGCTAGAGAGAGAAAATAGTGTTTAGTGAAGAAGACTGTCAACATTCTTTTGTGACTCAAAGTTTACGGCCACGGATCAGCCTGTTGTTCTCTGGCACCTCTCAGTATCTCTCTACTTGAAAAAACAAAAAATACAGGAGGTGTGCCTAGAAAGCTGGACTTATAATGCATCTTTCCTTCAATGTCAGCAGTAAATCCAGACGGTTTTGAAGACCTTGGGAAAAATTCGGTGGACAGATCACCAAAGTTGGCACTAACTCTTGCCAAAAGTCTGGCTGGCACCAATGCACAGACCAAATTGGCCATAAAAACCTCACTGTAGTCTTGTTCCTCTCAAAGGAAATCATTTTGCGATCAACAATGAGGCTTACCCAGAGGCCAGTCTTAGGGGCAGGCCTAGAATTTTGAGCTTAACTCAATTGCACGGTTTAGGGCAAGAGTTTCATGTTTCAGATGTGCAGTCAAGTAATTTGATCCCATCAGAGTTTTAATGTCTCCTAAAAAATCCAAAGTGTTAAATCCTTTTTCCCAGCCTCCCCGAGAGCAATCAGGGGGTGCTTTTTTTCCAGCTCCCAATCTCCTCCCTCCAGTTTCTTATTCTCATACTCAAACAGTTACTAAGTGACTAATTTAATACATTGGCTACACGTCTTAATCCCAAAGTCTGATTATAATCTGTGTTCTAAAGTAGTGCCCAAGCACTTATCCTGTTCTCTTTGAAAAACACTGAGAAAGAAGACATACAAGGATAGTGAAAGTGGAATATTTAGAAATGGTGCTTTATTTCAGGGCCAACACTATTATCATGAACCCCTATAAACTTGAGAACATTTTCACCCAAGCAAATTCCACAACTCCAGTAAAAGACACATCACTGAGAGTTACACTGTCTCAGGCAGCAGGCAAGGAGCTAAGTGTTTATTAAGTCTCTGCCCCTGGCTACCAGGTTAACAGAGACTCAATCCTTCCCTCCCTGTGTCTCCCTTGGGAGAGAGCAAAACCCTAAAAACTTCTTCACAAGAATAAAACAGACACACCAAACTTAAAGGCACGAAAAAACTTATAGTGATGATGGACTACATATCACTATTAAAACTGCAGAAGCTCATGTTAATGTTTTAGAGGCAATAAAGACACACAATATTATTAACAATAATAGCCACCATACATGGAACATTTAGATACTGCACTAAGTGCTTTACTGGGCACTAAGCATTATCTTCTATAACCCTCACCATTACTTTTTGAAGCATATATGATTATGATCCCTGCTATAAAGATAAGACACTAGTAGTAGTTCTGGGTATACTTTTTTTTTCTTTTTGGAACTTCTCAAATGACTTCATTTTTAAATATGTTAATGGTGCCCAGATTTCTGCTTAGCAACAGTCACTCTATTCTCAAATGCTCCCTCTAAAATACAAACCTTCATTCTTTCCCTCTCTCTCTCTTTCATGTTCTTTTGTTTACCGTTTTATGAAGATGTTAAGCTCAACCATGGTTCCTGCAGCCTGTGGTACAGCACCCTGCAAAACAGTGCTATCTGTTTATAACATGGCACGACCCTTCCTGCAGAGTGTGAGACCAGAACTAAAATCCACTAATGACTAGACAGCTCATTTTAATTCTACACTTGACAAAATAAACCCCTCATAAAGACAGGCAGGCAGAAGCTACTTCTCACTCTGGACTGCTTTGTATTAATAATCTTTAAAAAGTGGCTGAAGGGAACAGGCCCTAGCATACAAAAAACGCAATTATGGCATAAAGAGATTGGGATAAAAAGCAAAACCCCTTATTTAAAGTTAAATTATTTTTTCCCTCCAATGGGGGGTACCTGTCACTAATGGTCTGTCTTAGACCACTGCTGAATTGCAAAGGTTCTTTCAGTGCAAATCCTGGCTGCACTAGTGGGATCTCACTGAGCCCATCTGAAAAACCAGGGCACTTGATTTCCCTAAAACCAGCTCCCAAAAGGGCTCATTTTTTTTTGTTCTCTTTTGTCCACAGAAAATGAAGCTCCACTTACATGTTGGAGGAAATATTTCAAAACATTCCCTTTTTTCTCAAAGTGCAAAATTTATAGTAACAGATAATTAACAACAAATGACAAACAATCTGAGCAGTAAAGGTCCCAGTTTGGTTGCCAAGATGATGGGATCAAATTCCAAGATAAACAGTGGAGCGTGCCGACAGCCATTAACATCGTGGTGGGGTCGAGATGGAGAGATGCAAAACAGGGGAGCCATCCACCACCACCGAGGGGCACAACGTGGAGCAAACAGACTCCCACGGGATTATTATTTCCCTTCCGAATTCTCAGGAGGATCAGTTGCAAGAGGGGTTAGAACAGGACTCACACCACTGTACCAAACAGGATACCCAAGCCTTTACATGTATTTTACATGAAGAAAGCATTAGACTTTTTGAATTGCATTATGGAAGAATTAAGAATTAATATCCTTTAGGAGTCAACACCTCCTAGCCTGTTTGTTCTTTCCTCACCATTCTTCTCTCTAAGTTTATTGAGTCAAGAAAGGTTTCAATGCTACCGGCTGTACCCAAAATGTATGGGTGAAGAATAAAGTGAAAACAAGTTAACCTGTAAAAGTCAGAATTTGAGCACAACATATGGTAAGTCTCCCAGATACTAACAGATGGCGAACCTTGGGAAATCACAACTTCAGATAGTCTTACATCTCTCGAAAGTCAGTTCAGAGTTCACTATTTGTCAAATGATTTTTTAAAAAATATTGAAATACAAGCCTAAAAGTTTTGAATTATCCCAAAAATCATTCCTTCTCAGAGATCAACATAGGTCAAAGTATCAAAAGTTGCTATCCTGATCCTTTCATATGCTAGATTCATTGGTATATTGAGTCGGCACGTGTACCCTAGAAAGCCAAGTTGCAATTTTGTCTCATCTCCCTGTTGACTGAAGTCTAGGGATGCTGACCTGCTCCCGGTGCTAAAGTCAAGCCCAAGGTCAGGACATCGTAACTGACAAGGAAGAGTTATGATCTCACAAACACATCTGCTATATATTCCCTCCTACTTTTTCCCTCTCTCCTTCACAAATACGCCCATTTCTCCTCTTGTTCCCTCTATAAAATTCATCTTCCCATTATATTCCCTGCCTACCTGCCTTGGGCTGTTTGAGATGCTATTAACAAAATAGCGTAGACTGGGTAGCTCATAAAAGACATGCATTTATCTCTCACAATTCTGGAGATTGGAAAGTCCATGATCAAGGCAGATTCAGTGTCTGCTGATGGCCCAATTCCCAGGTCACAGGCAGGCATCTTTTCACCGTAACCTCATATGAAAGAAGAACAAGGGGTTACTCTGGGGCCTCTTTTATAAGGGTTCCATCCTCATGAGAAAATCACCTCTGAAAGTCCCCACCTCCTAATACCACCACCTTGGGAGTTAGGATTTCAACATATGCATTCTGGAGGGGTACAAATATTCAAACCATAGCACTATCCAAGCAGAACCAGTACATAAAAGTCGTATCATTCTTAAACATAGAATGTATTAAATAAAAGGTGCTAAGAGCAATAGTTAAGATTTTATGATTAAAAAATCGAATACAGTTTGATAGGCTTCGGTGGTTATCTTTGAAGTCTCCAGGCAAAGCAAAATAAAACAAACTGGAGAAAAATTTCCCAAAACTCAGGACTTAAACGAGCTAGTAAAATGCCTATGTCATAGAAGAAGGCTAACTCTTTCAGTAAATTAGGGAAACAGGCTGAGCTTGCTTAGCTGGTGGGAGACTTAATTTTTTTCTTGATTTCAGTTTAAAGTCTTTGTTCAAAACATATTTTAAACTAAGTGTACAAATATGTACAAGGTTTGAAACTTGGTCCTTGGCCCAAATACCTAAAGCCAAATACCACAAGTAAGCCACTTTTCTTAGCCAATCAGTATAAATGCCAAAAAAGCCCACAGCAAGACAGGAAAGGATATTTTTCCAATCCAAGAATTATCAAATCTTTGAGCTGGAAGGTTTCAGAGACAGTCTGTACAAAGAAATAAGTGAGTTTCAGTAGAGTCCATGTTTTGATGTAGAGTCCTGCAGTTTTTTAAGGAAGCCACTACCAACAGAGGAACTTCGGTAATGGTCTAATTCTCACTTAGGATTTTAAAGCTCAATACTATCAAATGTGAAAAAGTTATCTGTTCCCTATATTCCATGGTGATGTTAGCTTTCTTTTTCTTTTTTTTTTTTTAAACTAGTTTCAACAGCTCTGAGGCTTAATAAAAACTTGCACAAAAATGTAAATCAACTAGAGAAGCTTATATTCTTGATTTGTGGTAAAGAAGAAAAAAATAAAAAAATCTGCAAAAATGCATTTTCTTATTTGCATATATTTTGTCCCTTCTACAGGGACAGAAATTGAATAAAACCAATCTTCAAAGAAAAATAGAATAAAAATATGTAGACCCAAATAATGCAGGAGCCAATAAATTCAACAGAGTTTCCTCTTTGCAGAGTTAGTGTTTCCACACAGACAAAGCTTCTAAGTGTACCTTTTACATTAAATAACAAAAAAAGAAAAAAAAAGAAGACCAAGATGGTGGTCTGCAAAATTGCAGCAGTTTTGTCCATACTGATATTGAAATAATAGTCTAACCATGCTAGGATAGCTACTTAAACATCTAGTTTCCAGTAAGCTATGAAAGTCTAAAAGGGAAAAAGACATGGGAAGGAAAGAGCTAAGGCAATACTGAAAAAGAAGAAAAACAAACTGATGAATAGATCTTCCAAGACTCAGTAAGCTTCTCCTTTTTGGAAACAGTTCAGAATAATCTAGAGTTTGCTGTGCAGGATGCAGTAGATTTAGCAGCATTAGCTTTGTTTCTACATCTTAAAATCTCATCTTCATAAGCTTTGAAAGCTTAGAATTAAAATCGAGTATGTTGCAAACACAAACTACCTATTTCATTACAGCCTGTTTGGCTTGTCTTGCCACTTGAATAATTTTTACCAAAATATCCCCATGAAAGAAGTTTAGAAAACAAAAATTGTATTTAGAGCAGGAGATAGATAGATTCAGTCTGTAAGGAGAGGTGATCTGATGGCTCCTAGTTGCAGGATATGTCTATGAGTTGACGATGACTATGCTTTCTCTATGAGTCGTTCTTTATCCCTACAAATGTAGGTAACTTTCCAAACCCAAAATCCAGGTATAACATAGAAGATAGGATTTGTTTTATTTCATCAAAATTCTTTACCCTCCCAGAAAGTCAAGTAGCCAACAAACAAATAAACAAAAACCACTGTCCAATTATGCAACATACAGCTAGGGTTCTAGGAACAAATTCCTATGGACAAAAAGCAAATCTAATTTTAGATTGCTTCTTTAATGCTTGAGTGCAAACAAAGAAATGTACAGAATAGGGAAAAAGTCAGCTCTAAAATGAAGTCCAACTGTCACGGACCACAAGACAGGTGCCCTCAGGGAGTGTATAGGAAAAAGAACGTATTTTTAAGAATAAATGAGAGAAGAAAATAAAAATATCCAGTGTTTATATATAAAGTGCAAACTAAAAGGACAATTCAGCATTTCTATGATGAATTTCAGATTGAGAACATTTTACAAATTATGGCCATGCTAATGTGCAGGACAGTGATGAATCTGTAATGAAAATAAGAAAGTGGCTTACCAAGAAAGAAGTGTATGTTTAGAATTTTTTTAAAACAGCAAATGCAGCCCAACTCTGTAACAAAATAAATTTCTACCTTGTTAGTAAGTGCCATTTTACAGAGTCCCAGACATTCATTCATTCATCCACTGATATGACTTTTCCTCTGTGTGAGCGTTAGGGGTCATTTCTCTTCTCTCACCACCATATCCCAATGATGTCTCTATTATATTCTTTCCCTAAAGAATATGACTAATGATGTGGGATTTGTGTTCTTAATTTTACATGGACAAATGTAAAGGTAAGGAATAGGAGAAATCCCAGACTGTTAAAAGGGGAAGAGATGATGCTAAGACCATTACGTCTATTGGCTGGTAAGGAACCTGAAATTCAGAGAGGCCCTACTTGCTAAATATCAGAGCTGATTAGTGATCACGACAGGACTAGAATGCAGATTCCCTGAAACGCTATCAAGAAGTCTATTACTGTATACTCTTTTAGCTTCCCCAAATGGATTTGAAAATACAGTCATGAGCTGCATAATGACATTTTGGTCAATGACAGACCACATATATGAAGGTGGTACCATAAGATTACAATGGAGTTGAAAATTTTCTATCGCCTAATGACATTAGCTGTCATAATGTCATTGTGGTGTAACTTATTACTCATGTGTTTATGGTGATACTGGTGTAAACAAACCTGCCCTGCCAGTGGTATAAAGTATAGCACATCCAATTATGGATAGTACATCATATTTGACAATGAAATAAATGACTCTATCACTGGTTTGCTTATTTGCTGTATTATACTTTAGTTGTTATTTTAGAGTGTACTCCTTCTACTTATTAAAAAAACAAAAACAAAGTTAACTAAAACCCTGGCTGCCTCAGGCAGGTCCTTCAGGAGGTATTCCAGAAGAAGGCATTGTCATCACAGGAGATAACAGCTCCATGCCTGTTACTGCTCCTGAAGACCTTCCAGTGGGACAAGATGTGCAGGTGGAAGGCAGTAATATGAATGATCCTGACCCTATGTAGGCCTAGGCTAATGTGTGTTCATGTCTTAGTTTTATACACACACACACATTTTTTATTTCAATAGCTTTTGGGATATACGTGGTTTTTGGTTACATGGATAAATTGTTATAGTGATGAAATCTGAGATTTTAGTGCACCCATCACCTGAGTAGTGTACAATGTATCCAACATGTAGTTTAAATCCTTCATTCCCTTCCCACCATGTCTTAATTTTTAACAAAAAGCTTAAAAAGCAAAAAAATAAAAATAAAAAAGTTTGGTACAAAAGCAGCTTATAGAATAAGAATATAAAGAAAGAAAACATTTTTGTACAGCTGTACAATGTATTTGTGTTTTAATCTGGCTTATAAAAGAGTCAACAAGTTTTAAAAAATTAAAAAGCGTATAAAGTAAAAAAGCTACAGTAAGCTGTTTCTTACTTTATTGTTGAAGAAACAAAAATATTGTTTATAAATTTAGTGTAGACTGTTTATAAAGCCTACAGTAGTGTTTAGTAATGTCCTAGGCCTTCACATTTACTCACCGCTGACTCACTGACTCACTCAGAGCAACTTCCAGTCCTATATGCCCCATTCATGTAAGTGCCTATAGAGGTGGACCATTTTTAATTTTTTATACTCTACCTTTCTTATACCTTTTCTGTGTTTAGATATATTTAGATACACAATAGTTATTATTGTGTTACAATGGCCTACAGTATTCAGTACAGTAGGATGCTATATAGGTTTGTAGACTAGGAGCAATAGGCTATACCATATAGCCTAGGTGTATGGTAGGTTATACCATCTACGTTTGTGTAAATATACTCTATGATGTTTGCACAAAGACGAAATCGCCTAGAAGATGCATTTCTCAGAATGTATCCCTGTCATTAAGTGACACCATACTTCTTTAAAAATTTCCAATCAGTTATAAGACGACGAAGTAGGCAACACTGTTCTCATCTTCCCACACTTGAGCAAGTTGAGTTATACTGAACCAATGAACAGCCTTTGGCCTATTCCTTGATTGCAATATAAAATAGAAGAAGGTGCTACCCAAGAAAGTGAGTACAAAAGAAAATAGAAGATTTGCATCAGATCAAGACTTTAAAGCAAATATTACAGGCCAGGCATAAGGACTTGGAGACAAATTACATTTTTTATCAATTTAAAAAAGTTTTAATCATAAAAGTGTTACATACTTGTTGTAAGAATAATTCAAATTATATGAAAGTATAAGAAATAAAAAGTAAAAGGTCCTTATCCAACACTCCCTCCTGCAAATTCAGTTCCAAATGTATTCCCTAAAAATCACCAGTAATGTTATTTATCCTTCCATACACTTTTATATAGTTATTTAGCCAAATGACACCTTTTCTATAACACTCTTCTGTAACATTGTTTTTATACGTAAGCATATCTAATACAGAACTAAAACAAACATTTACTTCCTACCACATTCTTGAACTGAATAAGAATGAAATCTCAGATCAGACAAACAAAATCTTGTAGTACTTTGGCATGAAATAATCACCCAGATACCCTAAAAGCTACAGATTTTTTTTTTAACTAGCGATGGCCAAGCAACACTGACAGATACTACACAATACAAAATAAAACAAGTTGGACTTGTCAGGTTTCATATAGCCAAGTAGTTTAGAAAGGAAAATGTTAACAACTTATCTCATACTCATCAGCTGGTAGACAATACCATATATATTATCATAAAATCTATTTATCAAGTGGTATCTTTTGGGCACTATATGTCATTATATATCATTTCATTTAATGCTCACAACCATATTAAAGGGTCATTAAACCTATTTTACAGATGAGAAGACAGGTTCAACAATTTTTCCATCATCACCCAGCCACGCCAGTAACTGGCAGGATCAGTATTTGTATACAGATCGCTGATTTCAGACCATATTCTCAGCTACCATGTGTATATTGTCCTCATTCCCCAGCCCAAGCTGTGCCTTTTGCACTCAATCCTGGTTAATTACAGATAGCGCTTGATGTTTTTGTTTTAACCACAGATAGAGATAGGAAGTCTAAGAAACTGACTGGGGTACAGAGAACCTAGGTCCAGCTCATGTGGAGGAAGGCCACTGTGATTCCACAGACAGCAACCAGTCAGCACTCAGCTCACAAGATTCCATCCCCGCCTTGGGACTGCCACTCCCGTGGAGTAACTGGAGGTGGATGAGACACTCCTAGGCTGTTTATAATCTTGAAAGGCACTAAACCGGGACACTTGCCAACCCTGACAAACCAAAATCCCACCTAGAAAAGTTTCCATGACTCTTTGCTGCTCATAGCTCCATGAGGAAGAAAGGACAAGATTTAGCAATGACTTTATTTATTCATTTGTATACACTCCACTGCTTTTCAAATGAATTGGCAGTTTAAAATTAAAAACCCAGAATCAATGAAAAAATTATTAATGATAACAGCTAACATTTATTGAGCATAGACTATGTATGTATAAGCATTAACATGTAATACTGTTTCATCCTTCTATCCTCCACAGCCTTTTGAGATAGGCATTACTTTTATGGTCCGGATCTTACAGATAGAAAAATAAAACATAAGGAAGTTAGAGTATGTATTCACAGTTGGTTATACAGCTAGTCAGTGGTGCAAGCAAATGTTAAACCCGGTAATCTGATTCCACAGGTGATATTGACCACTATGCTAACCTGCCTCCACAGAACCAGGGTAAAAGAACAAGTGCAGTGTAAGATTCAAGGGGTGTTAACAACAGAAGGCGCAGATAAGGAAAGTGGCTAAAACTGAAAACAAGGCTTGATTTGAGTTCCCTAGTCGTCAATCCTTAAAGAAAAACATGAAGAATTAACCTGAGTAGGGTATCCTATTGTCCTATGGCATTCCAATAACACGGGGATTTCAATGCTAAAACTGAAATGGCTGGATACCCTACTAATAAAGTTTTGTAACATTTGATTAGGCCTCAGATTATGAAACACATACAAAATCTTTATGGTGTTTTCAGACCTACATTGGCTCCTTCAGCACCTCCTCCCACCATCATTAAAAATACTAAATAATTTTTCTTATCATTCTGCTTGGGAAAGATGAAGGGGTTGTGGAAAAATGAAACCCTGTTAATTGCTGGGCTTCAATCATCACATCTATTAGTATGCTCAAGAGTCTGGGTAAGTGAGGCACACAAATTCTAGGTTAAATTTTGCTCTGCCAACTCCAGCTGTGCTTTAATTTTCTTTCCCAAGGTCATACAGGATTGCTTTCTAAAAAAAAAAAACTTCCCTCCATAACAAGCAGAGATTCAAGCCAGTCATTCTTAGAGAGCTTGGTGGTAATCTTGTCAGAACTCAGAGATGAAAACTAAACCAATGCTTCTTAAAGCTGTTTGAAACATCAGCTCTGAAATCAGCAATGAGCTTCATGAAGATGGGGACTGGGTCTTATTTATTTTTGTTTCCTTAATAGCATCGCCTTGCAAATAAACATTGTCTTAACTGCAATCTTAATCTTAGCAAGTCAGAGCTAAAAAGATCCTTAACCATCATTTGGTGCAAATATTTACAGATGAGTAAACTGAGACTTGGAAAAGAAAATTTGTTAGTCACAAAGCTGAGCTGAGACTAATTGAATTAAATGGGAAGTGAGCTCTTCCTAATTAAGGTGAAAAACCCCAACTACCATCACAAGGCTGTAGAAAAGAAAGTAAGACATCATTAAAGGGATAGGGTTTTTAACTATAATCCAAGTGATCTGTCAGGGGTCTTCAGAAATCTCAAGTGTAAGTGAAAAAAGGAAGCAAATAATTTAACAATCCCATGCAAAATAAATGAGCAACTACGCAAGTGGAAAAGACAAAATATCTTTACCTCGGGGAGAGGAGCAAAGTTCTGCCATGACATGTTGAAATTTTCAGAAAAACTGAAGACATTTTAGACTAAATATTTTATAGATATTTTCTAGCCAATTAAAGTTTCTAATTAGATTAAGGCCAATTTTTGTTTCTTAACATAACAGAAATATGACATGATTAAATCCAACCAAGATCCCTGACCACCTACCATAGGTCAGTCACTGTGTGAGGCCATCAGGCCTACAAAACAATGGCATGTTCTCAAGCAAGAAAGAGTAAAGCCAGGGAAAAGGTAAGCCAGCCTCCTGACAACACGTACCATCATGAAAACATTCAAAATGTCAAGAACTGACAGAAAAATTCCAGTGAAAATCTCCAAGCATCAATCTATTCTCTCTATTCAATGCATAATCAAATCAATGGATCAATTGACCAGTGTTTTTGAGCATCTGTCACCTGCTCAGAAGAACAAGCCTTTCTTTAAGAAGTAAAAAATTAAAAGAATAAGAGACAGATAGGCAGATAGATAGATACAGATAGGTAGATAGGTAGGTAGGTAGACAGAGAAACAGACAGATTAAGAAAAATAATAATGGAGGTGGTATAAAGTGTTGCCAAGTAACTTGGGCAGGCATGATCATTTTGGATTGGAAACGGATAGGTAGAAAAGGCTTAAGTGGAGGAACCTAAACTAGCTTTGAGGCATTTGATGAGCAGAGCGTAAATGTGTTACGCTCTGTAAGAAACAGTGATGGCAATGGCACCAAGATGGAAGGTGCTAAGATGTGTTCAGATGACAGGGAGCCAAACTGTGTGGCTGAAGCAGAGGGTTCAGATGGGAAGCCCTTATTGGCAATAAAAGTGAAAAGGTACACTGGAACTAGCCTGTAGAAGAATCCTCTATTCCAAGATCAGGAGTCTGGTGAAAGCACTACACAGCTGTCTAGGTTGCCCCATTTTCAAGCCATTTTTTTCAAAAGAGGTATAATTTGATCCTTCAAATTTGTTATGGCTAGATAAAAGCAGATCAACTTTAAAGTTACATGATTTTTAAAATATCTCTGTGCATTCACAGTTCGCCAGTGGAATCTTGAGGCCAAGAACAAGTGAGCAGATGTCTGCAGACTTGAGAACTAAGCTGAGGTTCCCCAGCAGTCATTTTCCAAGGAATCTGGGCAAAACACACTTTGTTTTGCTTGAATGGAAACAGCATCTACAAAGTTCCTTGTAGTTCTTTAATACAAAAACATAACACCAGCAAAACAGAACTGAAGCTATTCTAAAGTATGGCTTACACAAATATTGTAACATATTTGAAGAAAAACAAGTAAATAGAAACAGTAGAATAAAAAGAATATTTGAATTAAACAGATATTTATTGTTCAGAAAAGCTATTTTAACAAAGAAAAACTTTATCCATTTTTCCTTAAAATCATGTTAGCGATCCTTCATAATCATGAATATATTCTCATTTAAAGAACGTATAAAGTTCTTTCAAATAGTTTAGCAGTAACCACTTACAAGGATTGTCTTTTCCTTTTTTTTTTTTTTTTGGTCACTCAAGCATGCTGCTTTAAAACGGCTGCTTTGCAGAAATCTCATCATAGGTAACTGACTCGCTCTCCAGAATATACTTGCAAAGCAACATCCTAGTATTTACACTAATATCCAGGCAGTCAATGGAAAGACCCTTTTGTTTGGTTAGCGTTTGTAAATTCCAGGGTGGGGGGGTGTGTGTATTTGGGGTGTCCTACTATTTTTTTTTAAATGCTCATGTAAAACAATTCCTAAAAAAAGAGCTTGTGACTTGGACATGCCCCGAGTTCAATTCTTCCAGGAGTGGTAAAAACAGTCAACAGAGCTCTAACCTCCTTTCTATCTTGACTATACAATAGTTTTCAAAGAGGTTTAGTCCTACTATGAAAGACTCATGTTAGACATTGGAAGGGTCTCATAGAGAATGAGCACCAGGCCTTGAATAAACAAGAGAGATGGTGACCTTTTGCTCCCTTCTTCTGAAAGCCCAGCACATCCTGTAGCAGAGGACCAGAAAAAAGTTGATGTGCAACCAGGTGCTGCAAAATCCTTGCCTCTGGGTTTCTGCCACACTTTGCTCCTTAAACAGTTTAAACCTCAACATGACTTAAATAGTATTAGGGAGTGAGAGGAAAGTACAATTCCTGGAACCAACTGTTCCACTGTCCCTTATTCCTTTGTTCCCCATATTGTTTGAGTCCTGTAGCATGCAGCACACGTTTCACTAGCAACAGGCAAGACAATGGATCTAGCAGTAGCTGGACAATTAGTCCCAATTAGGCCTATTTCCCAGCTGAATGTAAAGGGCTAGTGGGGTGAGGTGTGGGAAAAAAAAAAAAAACTACAGAAATTTTAAAGAAATATTTCAGAATGGAGGCAAGCAATACAATGTAAAGCAAATTGAACTAGGGGTCAGGAGTCTCAGGCAAATTCGCTGTGTGGCAAATACTTTAACCTCTCTGTTCTTTTCCGTTCTTATCTATAAATAGGGGCAACCAACCACCAGTCCTCAGAGGCTCTGAAAATCTAATTTCAATTGTGGTTGAAAGTGCTCTGAAAATTTGAAATGTTACACAGATGTATGGGATTCCTCCTGAGCTGTATTTGAAACCACAGATATCCATCTGATTTGTAAATCATTTACCTTTTAGTCTCCCTAGCAGAAGTTAATAGTGAATGCTTTTCTTTTTTTTCTTTTTATTTTCTTGATTGCTAATTTTGTTAAGTTCATAAGCGATACTTACATATGTACATGTGGAGGCTGGAATCTGCTCTGGTTGATGTTGTAGTGCGTGAATGCCTGGGTGGGGTTTGAGCTGTACTCATCCACCGTTATGGTAACTTTGCCTTGAGAAGGAATCCCATGTGCCATCCTTCCTCCCTATAGGCATGAGCAATTCACAACTTTACAGAGCAAAAGATGGAAGCAGGCATGGTGCGTTTCAGCCAACCTCTGAATCCAAGGATCTACTCATCAATACCGCTGTGCATTTCTGAAAGAAAAAAAAAATGTATATAAAATGAGAACAAAGAGAAAAAGGGTGTTCTAAGAGACATAAATTTAACATCTAGACATGAAACTAGTTCAGGGAAAATCTGAATATGTGTTGTTGGCTCATGGATACAACTGTTCCCAACTCTCTTCCCTTCATGCACTTCAAAGTGGATATTACACTCTATACATATTGCTGGGTGCTAGCAAATCTTCTCAATGGAGTTCAAACTAAGATTTCCTCTTTAATTATAATTATGGCACTTAGCGTGAATTACGGAAGGGGCATATCCACCGTTGCCATGGCATCTGGCTATACATGGTTTGTGCTCCAAGTGAAGAATCTTCCAAACCTGCCCTGCTAATTGGAATGTTTGGTCTTTACAAAGTTGGTGTCACGTAATCATTTGAAAGCTCCATGTTTAAAGCAGCTATATAACACAATGACAGATAAGAATTTAAAATGTTGTGCTTATAACAAATACATGTGTATTACTATAACATGCACATAATAACCACACATTACACATATTTTTTTCTTTCACAAGCAGCTCCCAAAATACACAGGTAGGCAATGCTTGGCATTCCTCACTGGCCCAGAACCTTATGGTAAGGCAAATCTTTCTTGTTAAATGTAGTGTCATTTTTTTCAACACTCCAGTCACTCAGGGGAAAACCAAACACCTCCAGGTCTGGACCACCACTTTGAATGCATTCATTACCTCCCTTCTTCAAGCCCCGATGGAGCGGTAAAGAAGGGCGGCCATTACATCTGCCACCTCATTCTTGGTGCAACGTAATTCTCAGTAATTGGTTTCATTTTTTAAAATTTCCATTAGTTCTGATTTTTTCATAAATGTCAATATATTATTTGCTGCACTGGGTTGAGAAATGAAGATGTCTATTTTTATGGTAGGTGTGCAAAGGCTGAGGGAAGCAAATTCTCATGTCCAAGTTGTTGCAATTGATCAGTGCGGTAGAGAAGAAGCCGTAGTACACTCCTTGGGTAACCCTTAGGTAACCCATGCTCTTACTTTAAGTGCACAACGTCAGAATAGGTTTGCCATGTGCACCATTAAGCTCTGAGAATCTTATCTGCTATTTCAAATAAAAATATTTAGAATAATAAGATGAGATTTAAAATTGGCATGAAACACCTTAAATATCGAGCAAAAGGCAGATGGCCTGCCATAGGCCATTTATTTTATTATTTTACAACCCGGGGCTTGAGTAATCCCCCATATGCTAGCTGGGCTAAGAAATTCCAGAGTGTTCTACTCAAATCATTGCCTTCTTCATATTAGCAAAGCAAGCTAAATAACACCCACCTTGCCTGCCTTCCTAATGTCAAGTGCACTGCCAAGAGATGAATCCCCGTGCTCTGGCATTTTAAACAAAGTGTCACTTTGGGTTCTCTTTCTTTTTCCTGACTTCATGGGAGGTATGAGTCTTTTAAGCGCCAGATGATAGACAACCAGGCCAGTAGGATTAACTAAATTAAAATCTTTCCCTGCTCCTCTGATGTAAGATATCTATAAGAACTGCTTACAAATCATAATGTAGCAGTTTTCATACCAAGTTTGCAGCTGTTTCCTTAATTTCTCCCACAATTATATTTTACTGTTATTTTGCATAACAGTAAAACACAACACCTGCTTCAAATTGCAGTCCTGTTCTAAGTACTGTAATTCTCTTTTGAGACACAAAGTACCGAGACACTACTGAAGCGCAAAACTGCATAATTGCGTCGCGCTGAAAAGTAAATACAAATGAAAACATCTTCCTGTTATAGAAATGACTGTCATTAAAAAGAATGTTAGCCATCAAAGCACAGAGGGGGAAAAATTCACATTTTCAGACTGTGAGAAGTTAGTGTTTGCATAAATTAGAGAGTGGTGTAAAAATTACTTGACAATTCTTATGTTCATTCTTCCATCAATGTCTATTGTGTGAAATACTGAACATTAAGAAGCAAAGGAAATCAAATTCATGTCTAGACCGCTGTGACCTCTGAGTAACAATCTCTGCACCCAGTACTAGAAAGATTTTAAATGTTTCTGGAGTAAACACACTAATTAAACCAAGCAAATGTGGCCTAGAAATAAAATATACATACCTAATATTTAAACATCTAGGTAATGACTTGTAGCAGTTAGCATGATACCCACCCAAGTTCTACTATTTGAAGCTAAGAAGAGACAGAATTTAGCAGCTGATCAATTTGCACTTCTACATGGTCCGCTTGATCCTAATGTCAACCTTCTCTATCACTGAACATCTATGCCTCTTTGCACCTTTGCCCCAGTAAGACAAATAGAACATCTTTTCATCAGCAAGCACAGGCCCCTGTAACTCTGAAAGGCTAAATGGGTGGCTGGCACCTCATTTGAATTCATCTTTGCCATGTTCCCTTTCAAATGTTTCATCGAAACAGTGCACCTGCAGCGTCTATCTTCTTTAATCTGGAGTCCTTTGAAGAAAATGTCAGACTGAGGCAGAGAGCTTCAAAACTTTCACAGCACCTTTACAGACAAGTCAAGAAAAGGCTTATTTTTTAAAATGCTATGTTCATCCCCACCCGTATCTCAAAATGAACACATCTTAAGAATTTTAAACACAAACACCTGGAAAAGACTTTTTCTTTTTTTTTTTTTTTTTTTTTTTTTTTTTTTGGTAAACTCTCAGAGACAAGGGACAATAGACAAAACCACTTCCTATAACCTGAGAAATTTGGAGAGAGCTTGAAACAAGACAGAAGGATACACTGCTTACAACTATCAAGAAGATGTATATTTAGGCAGTAAAACCTTCCAAATGATCAGATTTTCGTGCATCTCACCCTCTTCACACTTACTTTAACTTTTTACACACAATATTTAAAGACAGCACTATTCTTTTCATAAATTTTCATTTTATACTTCAACACACTTTCCACAAAACAAAGGAACCCAGGACGAAATATCAAGAAGCCGAAAGAAAAATCTAAAAGGGACTGACACTGCCAAACATTCATGCTGGTGCTAGTTTGATTTTTCTCTTTAAAAAGAAAATCATGTGAGTACATTTTGCATTTCCTAGACAGCAATCACTTCTGTCCTTTAAGCTGTACAACTAGCAATATTCTTTTCCAGGAATCTAGTTGGAAAACCTTTTAAAGTCGGCTGGCAATGAAGGGATTAAAAGCTGAGGAATTAAATAACTGTCTCCACCTCCTAGACACCAGAAGTCCAATTTACCAAAACTTTCAAAGCAACAACTCATGACCTCTCTACCCCTGCACTGCCCAGCACAGCCTATGAGAAAAGAGCCCGCGGTTTTCTCGTTTCAACAAGGATGCTCATTTTAATCACTTGCCCCAAGATCTCCAGACCGAGCCTGGCGGGACTTTGGAACTTGCCTGCTCCAAATCCGCCAAATTTCGCTCTCTCCTCCCTCTGCCGCGCAGATCCAGTGCGTTCTTAATTCACGCCCCTACTCTTTTATGCCCACTTCCAGTTACTCATCCCTGTATCTGGGAGCGATGCCCACACGCCTTCCCGGCGGGCTTCTCCGCCAGGGTTTTTTTGGGGGAGGCTGACATAAAGTTCCACGTGCTTCTGTCCACCGAGCGCCCTCCCTCCCACCGCACTTACACCTGAACTTGTCTCCAGCACTGCGGACACCCGGGTGACACATTCT
Source organism: Homo sapiens (assembly GCF_000001405.40). NCBI lineage: Eukaryota > Metazoa > Chordata > Mammalia > Primates > Hominidae > Homo > Homo sapiens. Next base: position 30,584,172 of record NC_000011.10, read on the forward strand.
TTCGGAGAGGGAGGGCAAGACTTTTCTCCGGAGCCTCTGGCAACTCGTGGAGTCTATATAAGGTGGGGCGGTGGGGGGCGCGGAATTCTCTACTTTGGATTGGTTTGTTTGTTTTAAATCTAGGGTGGTGGGCAGTTGCGCGAGGCGGGGTGGGGGGTGCTTTATGAACTACACACACACACACACACACACACACACACACACACCACATACACTCGCCCTGCCCTTCTAGGCTCACGGCTGGCTCTTCCCGGCTACAACTTCCCCTTCCTTCCTGAAACACCAGCGCCTTACTCGCTCAGTCCCCCGTTGCCACCTCCGTCACCTCCTCGGCCGCCGCTCCTGCTGGCACTGCTGGCGCTAGCGCTGGCGGCCCCGGGCTCCGCTGGACGCCTATCTTTTTTCTCTCCCTCTTCCCTAGCTCTGGATTGATTGATGACCACCGGCGGCCAATGGCTCTGACACCACGCCATCCTCGGTCGGGCATCACAGCCCCACGTCCCCGACCTCAGCCTCCCGGGCGCGTTGGCATCCCCGAACCCACAGCGCTGAGCCCGAGCCCGGGGCCGCCGCCTCCTCCCTGCTCTACGCCTGGGCGCTGCCAGGTTCCTTCCCTGGAACGGCGGAGAAAGGAAGGGAGGGAGCCAGCGAGCGTTGGAAGGGGGTGTGGAGGCCACGGGATCTCCCCCTCTTCTGACATCTTTTTTCACTTAAACTTTTGTTTGTCCCACCCCCCCGACCTGTTTGTGTTTGTTTGCAGCATCTCAAATCAATTATACATTTTTCATGACCCGCATTTGCACTTAATTTGGGGTGTGTGTGTGAGAGGGGGGTGGTGATGTACTATTATAAATCAACTTCACTGGGGCATCCTTAATTTATTTTCTTGCTGACGGATTCCAACCGGCTCCTGAGCCTCTAGAAAAATGCCCCCTTCACCTCCTAGGCCGCAAAACCCCGGAATTCAAAGGCTTTACAAAGATAACCTTGTTATACGTAAATAGCAAAGAAACTCCTGCCTCTGTAGAGAAGAAATCCGGCGGCAACGGTTACTTTTCCTCGGTACTCGTCCCCCGTCGCCTAGCCTCGACCCCAGCTTGGGTCGCCGGGTCGCTCCGCAGGCTGCGAGCGCGGAGACCCAGGCAGCGGCGGAGAGTGAGGTTGGGGCGCGGGGACGGGGTGAGAAAGAGCCCCGAGCGAGAGCGGCGCGCGCGGGCGGCCCCGGGGGCGGCCGCGGGGCGCAGCCGGAGCACAAAGCTGCGCGGTGCCTTCCCCTCGTCACTGCACCTGGCCTCGGGCCGCCGCGGGAGCCCGGGGATCGGGCCAACACAATGCACCCAGGCCTAGGCCGGGGCGGCTCGAACACATCACCCCGGGACTTTCTAGTAAACAGCTCGCTGAGCCCTCGTCCCCACCCCCATCCCCGCCGCCCGGCTTCCCCAGCTTCTCGCCGATACCCCCTCCTCTCCTCCTAAGAAATCCTGGCGGAGGAGGGAGCGAAGAGGTGGGGACCCCCAGAGGTCGGGGGACTGATGGCTGGAGGGGGTGGAGAAGAGAAGAGGCGCAGGATGGGGAGTCGGAGGGAAGACACCTCCTAAAAAAGAATTTGCTTTCGCTCAGGGGTTGAAAATCAGCCCTCCCCGAGCGCCGAATTGCCCGGGAGGCGCCCGCTCGTGCGGATGTCAGGGGCACCGGGGCAGCCCGGGTCCGCAGCCTCCGAGCCCCTCGCACGCGCCTCTGACAAGGCACCTCTCACCCGGGCTCCGCTTTGTGTGTGCATTTTTTTCCCTTCCTCTAGTGCTCGGCACCGGGCTCCCGGCCGCCTCCTCCCCCTCCCCCGCCCTCCGCCTCCCTTCCCGGGGCGGATTACCTTTCCCGGGCTGCGCTCCGGATCCCGGGGATGCCTTCAGCGCCCGGCGAGCAGGCGATCCATAGCCGAGCGGCCCGAGCCGGCTGGAGGAGCGCTGGGGGCGCGCGGGGGCGGCGAGGGGCGCGAGCGGGCCAGAACCTTCGACCCCGGAGGTCCCGCCGCAGGCTGGGGCTGGGGGCCAGGGGGCGCGGCGCTAGAGGGAGGCGGGGGGAGAAAGGACCCGAGCAGCCTCGATCTGGGGAGAGAGCGAGCGAGGGGGCGAGGAGAGGGAGCGAGGGCGCGGCGAGCCGGAGGGAGAGCGAGCGGTGCAGTGACAGGGACTGCCACTGGGGTCAAAGGAGCACAGCTCCAGGAAGCAGGGCGGCCGAGGCGCCGCTCCGTGCGCGCTCCCCGGCGGGACCCCGCGCCCCTGCACGCCCCTCCCGCAGTCCCTGCCCACTCGGACCCCCACCGGTGCCCCGAAGCCCCAGGGTTTCGAGAGGAGGAGGGAGCCGAGGGCGAGGCCCGGTAGCCTGCTGGTGCTCCCGGGTCAAGCAGGCGGCAGGAAGCTGAGCTGCAAGTTCATCATCATGAGTGCGATCTGCGTAAAAAATGATAGGGGAAGGAAGGCGGGCTACGGTGCCCCAGGAAAAGAAGGGAGCTTTCTCCCAAATGGTGTTCTTCTGCAAAGAGAACACCCAGCTCCCCGCCACCCACCGACCTGCCAGGCTCTGTCAGGAGTCCTGGCACCGTTCCAGGACGCAGGGCTCACCGCAGGGGTAAGGGGAGCGGCTGGGACACTTCGCTCAGACCTAGGAAGGCGACCCTAGGTTCCCTCCCATCTGCTGATCTGAGGCTTTCCTGGGGGAGAGCTGTGCTCCTTTTTCCCCAAGCCTTTCAACACGACAGACACACACACACACACACACGCTCACTCACTCACTCACACACTCACCTCTTTCTCTCTGCAATGTTGCTGAGAAAGAAAAGGCCAACCCAGCTGATCATTTTTTTTACCTCCATGAATTAAGGCAGATTCAGGACAGGAAGGTGAGGAGAGGCAAAGACTCTAATTGTTTCCATTTTCGTCTTTTGGATAAAATTTTCCCCAAAAGATAAGCATGTCAAAAGCATTTTAAAAATCAAACTTAGTCCAGTTTTGTCTGCTACTTTGGAAAATGGAAGAAAAGGTTTTCAGAATTTTGTACAAACAACACAAGGAAAGGAAATGCCGCTGAAATGCTGGAAGACAGAAAACAAGGGAGAGAAGGCTTTTAGAAAACTTGGTTGGCAGGGTTGTCTGTGAAAGATGAGGTGGCCCTGTGATGTTATGCCATTGTCATTGCTGAAAGATTGGGACAGCAACCAGATCTAATTCCTTTCTAGGAGTCAGACTGAAAGATCTGTGCATTCTCTGAAGGGAAATCCAATGTATATATATGTGTGTGAGAGAGAAGTGTGCTAAGTATACTATGTGACAACTGACTAGACATCCTGGCTGAAATTATACCCCCTAAAAATAAAAAGGAGCCATTGCAACCTGGTCTGTGGCCTCTGTGCTGAGACTAATTGGTTTCCAGGGTCTGGGGAGGAAGGGAGAGAGGCTTGTAGGAGCCCCTATAAAAAAAGATCAAACGGAATTCACTTGAAAATATTTCCCTTTTACAATGGGCTTTCCTGGCACTTGAATTTTAAGTAACCCATCTCTTATGCCTAGGCTGAAATGAAAAGGGAAATGGTCTTACTAATGTATTTATTTTATTTTACAGCATGCCCAGAGTGTCAGTGCTTGTCAAATGTGCTGGGGTGGAAAGGACAGTGTCTTTCCTTGCCCAGCACAAATCAGAACAAGTGACATTGACATTAAAGGATGCCAAAGATGGGGGCATAGAGGCACCTTTAAATTTTGTTTTCTTTTGTTTTCTAGCCCATCAGCGAACACTGACTAGAATCACGTTTTTGAAGAAATGCTTGGTTTTGTTTCCTTTACTCTGTGACTGAGTACTACATTCCTCATATCTTAATAGTTTGAATTTTTAGACTGATTTGGGCTGATTTAATCAGTTCAAAAAAAAAAAAGCATCACCAGCCAAATAATTTCTGTGGTTTCCTTCTTTAAAAAAAATTGCAGTCAAACAAAACAGACAAACTAGTTTGAACATGATTCTGAATCTAAATATGTGCACCCAGACAGTAAATAATAATGCTTTCTACTTTAGTGGTACATTTTACAGGATACTTAATGCCATAAAAAATCAAGTGGGTTATCCATTACAAAGTTGATGGAAATTTGTATACCATTTTACTGAGTGGGGAAAATTGAGGTAAAAAGGCTTAAAATTGTAATTTGTAGTGCTGGAAGAAGTCAACCTGCTGATAGATCAATTATCCAATAGTGACCAAGTTATATTTGGATTATGAAATTTTATTTTCATTAGGCTACTAGCAAGCTGGAGATATGAAAATGAATTTAAATAATAAACCAGGAACAAAAAGACACTCACTTTTCAAATAATTCTCTTTACGTGGATTTGAACATATTGCATTTTGTTAAATCATATTGTCTACAAATACAGCTACCTACACTAAAAGCTTAATTTAAAATTATTGGATGTGAACCATGTCTATCCCATCTCCCATATAAGCTTTGAAATGTTACCTCATTATATCAAATTTTAAATCCTATAAGCTTCAGCTTTTTTTTAAAGATAAGTGAGTCTATAAGTTCCATTTTCGTTGTTGTTGTTAAATTCAACTTTTATTGTGTATAATGGAAAAGAAAAGAAGGATGAAAATCAAATACTAAGTTTATGATTGGCTTCAAGGAAATATTACAATTTTTTTCTTTTAATGGAATTCAAAGCTGGACCCTTTCCCCAGTGATTTCATTGAAGGAACTGGTAAATATGCTTCCTGATAGCCCACTGCAATACCTTTTAAATTATCTTTTCAGAATGCATTTAGGAAAGAAAATGAGAAAGAGGAGCGTGGGAGAACTTTGGGTGGAAGCTTGGAAAGAAAATGATGCTTCCCTTGAAAGCTCAATACTTTATTTGGAGTTGGCTTTCATCTTCCCTATGAGAACAGGTTTTCCTGTACTTCAGAGATGTGTATGACTTAAAACTTGGTTCAATACTGTGGTTCTTCTTCTAAAAAGCAATCCATTGAAATTACTGCATGTTATTGAATAATTTCATTGAAATGATATGTACCAGTCTAACTGCAGGAACAAACAGCAACTATTTTATTTCTTTTTTTCTGTAAGTTGTAAGCATTTCTATCATTTTACAGCAAAGGCTAAGATGTATATTATCAGAAATCAGAGCCTCTTAATAGAACTACCACTATGATGTAATTAGAAAATAAAACTCAACAAACTATTTTATTTTTCTGAATTCTCACAGTTCTTATGTTCATTCAAATGTTTTTATTATGACCCCTCCAAGTTGAATAACAATGTCCTATATTTCTTTGAGTTCTTTATCTTTATGTTGGAAATAGTTGTTAAATGACTGTGTGGGTCAATAAATGAGAAAGTAAAGAAGAGAACACACCAGTGAATGAGGCAAATACAGAATTAAGAAAAATCCACACCAGATCTGTGGGAGAGGAAGTGATGTCATGAGGCAGTGTTGTAGGATAAGAGCTAAGGACTTCCCAAGGAGTTAAAATAGCACATTTTAAAGGTCTTGCTAATGCCTTTAGAAATATGGAATAATCCTAAGACTGTTTTACAAATTAATTTTCTTATAGAGAGACAAGCTTGTTATGTATCATGTCCATTTAAAGGCAGCCCTCTTTTTAAATACAGCAGGATGCCACAATAAAAAGAATTCCAAGTAAAACTTGTTCCTTAAAATGTACAGAAATGTATCAAGCCATTCTCAAAAGAAACTTATATAATTAATCTAATTCCTTGATTGATCCTTTTTGAAATCCTCAAAATAAATATATGATTTTTTTTCAAGGGTGGTACTTTGTATTGAAAATTTTCTTTGGTTAACCAGTAAAAATGTTTATGGGTCAAAAAAAAAAAAAGAATCAGGAAACACTAGAACTGATCAAATTTCATTTCATAAAATAAATGTCATGCTCATTATCATCTTAGAAAGGCTAAATTTAATTCAGTTTTGCCTGCAGCTTAAGTAGCAAGCATTGGGGAAGAATCTTAAAATTTAGCAAAACACTCACAAATTCTTAACATACTTACTAGCCAATATCTAGCATGTATCAAGAAATCAGATGAAAATTATTTATGCAATAATTAATTTTAAAAGTCTGAACATGATACTGAGTCTGGATTCATGTGTTCTTAGTGTTAGTAACCATTCTAACAGACATCCATAATCTCTGTGTTGACCTAAAGGGAATAGGCTATGGCACAAAATATAATTTAAAGAGTTTACTTGAGCCAAAGTGTGAGGACAACTGCCTGGAAGATTCACACCCAGGTAACATTGGATATGAGCTTCCTTTGGCCTTTGTTACAAGCAAATTTTTAAAGCCAAATATGGGGGACAGGGAGTAGGCTGACACAAAGTTCTCTGTAAAGAATTCTCATTGGTTTACAGAAAAGCATTGATTAGTGGTTGGCTAGACATTGTTAAGCTATAGGCTGTGAGTTATAGTTTCCAGTGCAGCATTATTAGTTAATTTATAGCTGCTAGGGACAATAACAAGCTATTTCAAGAGATGAATACATAGCTCAAAAGCTGGGGGTTAGGATGGACTTGCTGTCTCATTTTAATGTCTTTCTAGGCCTGATAATTTAAAAGGACTCACATTCCTCAATAAAAGTTCTTTTCTCATTTTAAATCAATTAATGCTTGCTGAGTCTTTCCCCATGTCATGGTCCCAATTTTGGGAAAATGGTAAAATTTTGTCGTACTTGGGATAGGCTTGTCATGGTGGAAAAGAGCTTTCTCATTGAAGTAAACTCAAAATAATCTCTCTTGAAAGATGAGCAGTATAGAAACCCCATTAAAACCTGGTAAAGAAAAGGTATGTGAGCATTTCCAAGTTTAATAATTCAATTTGGCAATCTAGCATAAGATATCTGTATTTCAAGAAAGCAATATATAATGTAACTTTCTTTCTCAGCAAAAATAAATCAATGAATGGATACAATTTTTTAAAACTGAGTTTGAGAGACCAGCAGAATATAAAACCTTTTTCTCACTATATTATTAATGTAATGGCTTGATTCAGTATTCAACAAATATTTTTAAGCTCTGCTCTGTGTGGGGCATAGTTCTTAAACCATGCTTATGGTCTAATGATGTAAAAAAAGCAGAGTTCTTTCCACATTATTAAGTATACAATCTCAGGGGGATGGGAGACAGTGACTTAAAGCATCACATAAATGAATGCAAATTATGGCTGTGTAAAGGAGAGGCCCCTCGTGCAAAGAAAACAAAGCAGGGAAACCTTTTCTCCTCTGGGGTTGAGTGAAGACCTTCCTAGTGGAGGAAAGGAATATAAAGAGGTCGCAGGAAAAAGAGAAGCCAGTGTGGCCAGGTACTGAGAGTGAAGATTTGTATGGTGCAAGAAGTGTCTGGGATTCATCTGGATGTGTAGGTAGAGGCCAGAACCACAAGGTCATGCCAAAGATATTTGAAGGTCACAGTAAGGCCCTGTTTAAGATGTTTGATATTATCCTGAGGGCAACGGGAAGCTGTTTAAAAAATTCAACTGGAAAGGGTAACATGATTAGATTAGTATTTTGAAAAGATCATTCACCCCATTTTGTAAAACGGATTTTAGGGAACTAGACTGAACACAGGGAGACCTTTGGGAGCTATTGCTGTCACTGGGTTGGAGTTGATGGTAGCCTTAGCCAGGACAGTTTTGGAGTAGAAGATGATACCTAGAGAGAAATGAATAGAAGAGATTTGAATACATTTTACATAAGAGCAACAAAGATTACTGGAATCTGGAACTACTGGCTAACAGCACTGTGGTACCCAGCCAGAGAGGTTGAGAGCCATAATCACCTAATGATTTTCTGAAGCATCTAATTCCACACACACTCCAGCCTCCCTATGTCTCTAAGCCATCTTCATCCTATCCTTTACACACTTCTTGGGATTCTGTGTTTCACGAAGAATTGTGGCATTAAATACAGCACTGGTATAAAATGTCACTAACTTTATTCAGACTTACAGATCCTAGAACTCACTTTATCCTCCTTTCAATGCCCCACACCTATTTTTGGCACACAAACAAACTTGTTCTTATTTCATATGAGATGTAATTGCAAGAGGCAAGTGTATTTGTGTTTTTCCTTAAAGTTTTTGAATGCTACATCACTTCCATATCTGTCCTCATCAGTACCAGTTTAATATAATTGAACTGCTTAATATTCCATGTACTATTCTAAGAGATCCTTAACAAAAGTGGTCGCTTTTTTATTCAGATCTTCAAAGAAAGAGATATCCTTTCGAGGCAACACAAGAAGCCAACTACAAATGAGAATATTATTCTCTTGGTGCAGGGATTGTTGCATGTGGACCCCATCAGCCTTGAAAAGTCCATGGTAAGGATGATACTCCAGTGGCTGTTTCCTTATGGATACAAGCTAAGTTACTATGGCCCTGCTCAGCAACTCAGACTGCTAAGGAAAGATGTGATAGAAATATGTTCAGAAATTTTAAGACTAATATATGACAACTATATTTTCTGACTTTATTCCTTTCTTGATATTTCTGCATTTTGAAAGTTCTATCAATTTCTTCTTCTGTTCTCATTACTCCCCATAGTGACCAACTGTAAACAAAGTAAAATCTACACACAAGAGAACAGTTCAATAGCCAAGATCTAGGGCACACGTTCTACTAGATGCATAAAATAAAAGGAAGGTTTACTGGAGAGCAGTTGAAAAAAAAAATCACAGTGCTACATCCAAATCCCTATTTCATGCTTTAGTACAAAGGGAACTTTAAAAAGATTTTTTTTCTTTTCAAAAGCACTCTATTGATTGTTTTGTGAAAAACTGGAAAATACAGACAAGCAAAATATAAAAAAATAGAAATTAACCATAATTATGTCACTCAGAAATATCCACTGTTAACATTTTGTAATGTAGTTTTTCAGTCAAATGTATTTCACAGAAATGGAACAATAGTGGAATATCAAAAGCAGAGAAAGGTTTGAATCCCATCTCTGCCTCGTAGTACCTGCGTGACCTCGGATAAGTTACTTAAGCCCTCTATGTCTTGGTTTCCTCATTTGTAAAAGAGAAATATTAAAGTTATCTACTTCATGGAGTTGTTACAAAAATTAAGTTGATATTTTTAAAGTACTTAGAATAATGTCTGATACATATCAATTATTATACAGTGTTATAATCCACTTAAAAATTTTAATACACAGTCATTGTAAATAAATTAAATACAGAAGTAATTAAGAAGTAAAAGTTACCCCTCTTTCTTCGTCATATCCCATCCCCTAGGTAGCCTGTATTTTCAACCGAATAAAACACTGAACATCTTCCCACGTTGTTACACATCTTTTTATGATTTCTTATGATTCCATCTTTTTATGAATCTAACTTTCATTTAAAAAGTGCTATGAATGTCATGAGTTCAGAATAACCCAACAGTCTATATTGCATTTCAGGATATTGCACACATGCTATAATCATAGAGATTACTTTAAAAGATTCAGTAATTCTAAAGCATATTAAGAAAACTCTTCTGATATTCATATTTTGGAGTTTGATTGAGTTGATGTTTGAAAGAGGAAAAGCTTTTCATTTAGTTTCCCATGAGTTTAGCACTGATTATATTAGTTCTTTTCCTTTAAGGCATAAACAGTGTTCTAAAAAACAAATTGAAGATAATATGTTTTGCCAGCTATAGACAGTTTTTATTTACGCTGTTTAAAGTCATAAGCAAAACAAGTTGAAAGTTTGTTGAAAAATGGTGACTGATATTTAAACTTTATCAACAATTATTGATATAAAACTTATTTGCATGCTTCAGAATTATCTGGAGTTTACTATGGGCCCTAATCTGTGGCATTTGACAATGGGAGCTTCAAGACGTGACAGACAGAACACAGAAAAGTTGTAGAATTTAAGAGAGAAGGGATTTTAGAATTCTTTTGAACTTGGCAGTTCTTTGGCAAATTGTATGGCTGCTGCTTTTCCATTAACTGGGATATGAACTGTATGGAAGTATATACAGCCATTGTTCATCTTATCATAACATTTGCACATCGAAACTAAATAGTTTGCCATAATCCTGAAACTTCACCATAGACCCAGGCTAATCCAGTTAAACAAATATGGTGTGTTTGGTTGTTAGGGGGTTGGCCTGGTGGGTTATAAACTTTTCATTTTAGAAAAGGCTATAGTAAGAGAAAAATGTAATCTACAGCAGCTATTATCTGGTATCTGAATTCACTTGTTGGCAAATTGGTCCTTGCATGTCTTTGAGGCATATGGAAATTGATGATGAAAGTGTCTAGTGTAACTAGAAATATGATTTGATGAAAACTGAAGCAGTGAACTGTGAGAAACTGTTAAACCAGTGTCATCAAACAGTGCTTCAAAAATAATGAAACAGGAATACTAGTCCTTTACGAGTAATATTGGGTAAAAAATGAGAAAAGCACATGGTGTGCACACAAAGTTTAAATATATGAGGTAATGTTTTTTAATTACTATTATTATAAAGACCACTCAAAAATTCTACACCCAGACTCCTTTCCATTTATCTCTAAGGAGACAATGACATCACGTCTTCTCTAAATTATTCAGACTCAGGGGATGGAATTGGCTCATTAATAGGGAATGCCATGTTTGGTATTGGCACAGTACTTAAAGCTTCTCTCCACGTTATCCCCAAACTGAAAAGCACATTTCATGGGAGCCAAATGAGTTAAAAAATTTTTCCTCTAGACTTTAAGCACTCAGAAACACATGAGAACAAAAATAGAACTGCACCATAAGGTATAATCATAAAACGTCATAGAAGGAAAAACTTAAGAAGCAAAAAACACTCCAGTCATCTGAAGGCTAGCAGTTCGTGAAGTCATTAAAAGTCATTCCATACGGGCTGAGTTTGAGGAAAAGTCAGAGGTTGCTTTGTTCTTGACTCTGAGTGAAATCAAAACCTACCCAGACTCTATACAAAGGCAACGGCAGCCTGCCTTTCTCTTGCTGGGTATATGCTACTAAACACACGTAAATGACTAGTGTTCAGAAAAGTCTGTGATTCTGTTCATATTAATCCATGTCGCAGGCTGGCAAAATGCCTAAGTACAATCAAAGAAGGGGGTAGAAGCCTGCCTTTTCAAACAGGCTAGAAAATTTGTACCAAAAGATCACAGGGCAACAGAGACAGCTGGAAAAATTGGAGCTGGGGCTCTGATTTTTGTGCCAGTGTTACACCTAATGCAAAGGGAATGCAGATGATAGATTGAGAGTTATGTATGTTGTTTAGTTCACCAGCTCTGTGCTTACACAGAGGCGAAAATGTAACTTTTTTTTAAGTAATATCATAGTAAACATAACATTTAAAACAACCTTACTGTAGCTAAGAATTAACACATCAGAATCTAGCAACAAGTTGCTAATAAAACAAGATAAACACATGCAAAGAATAAAGAGTGAACGGATAGCTCTAAAATTAGTCAATATAAAGATGTTTCACTAATGTCCTTTAATAATCATTTCTTTGGAAAAGTAGTCCCTGCAAGTGTTTTAACACACATAGAATTTTCTGCAAGATAGCTTAAGGTGCTTAGGCCACAAGGGGTTTTCAAATCAAAGGTTGTTGGGACATTTGTGATTCTAAAAAGAACATTGATGATTTTTCTTGGCTTTTAGTAGTGATTTTATTCATAATGTATAATAAAAAACAAGATATTGGGTATAATTCTCTGTATTATTTCTCTGTTTGAATGGACCTTTTCATTCAAGGTGTTATTTAATATAATTTTGTTCAGACGAAGTGTGTCACCCACAACTGAAATACTGTGTATAAAATGGAGATAATTGAAAGTTTTATTGAGATGCTGTTGAAAGTCTCTGGGGTCCGTGCTGATTCAGGCTGCGTTTGCAGGCTTCAACACTCTGTGGCCTTTGACAGGCATGAAGAAAAGCAAGACCAAAACAGTTCTCACAACACAGCTGGTGGTCACAAAGAACAGCTCATGGAGATGTCTGTCACTGAAAAGAGTGGTCTCTGGAAAAGAACCAAAAGTAAAAGAGGTGGAAATGGAGTTAGAAAAAGAGAGATTGAAAGTAGATGAAATATAATATTTGAACACTTAAAGGTAAAAATTAAATCCTGAAAAACACCAGTGGCTAGAATCATAGGCATATATTTTCTTTCTCTCTTTTACCTCCAACAGTGTTATCAATAAAAAGAGTTTGGAAGTACAGGTGGTCAATCAAACAATTAGGTTTTTAAAAATCTTCTAGAACATTCTGATATCTGAGGAAAATTGACTTATAAGTCCCAGAAGGAGGAATGGAATGTTCCTAGAAACAATAAACTTAGTCCCTCACTCCATTATTTTATTTATTTATTTATTTATTTATTTTCATCTTTAATAAAGCAATATCACATTTTACATATTAATTATCTCATCTGATTTTTTTTCTAAACTGTATTGTTGATATTCATGTGCTTTTATGTCAAAATTCTTTTCTTTTTAGGAGAAAAGGATCTTTTGAGGATCTTTAGGAGGATTTTTTGATGACTGACTGATAATATTTTTTGAAATATACATTAATTTAAAATACATACACACATGTCCTGAAGCTTTTTTAGAAAGATTAAAGGACTATAAACACACACAAACATATATGTACGCACACATAAACCCATGCACCCCTAATATGTAAATTCTTCAAACTAGCCTGGTTAAGATAAAATCATAAACTGGGCTTCTATTCTACCATTCTCTCACCACTTTTTTTTTCTGGTATTCCAAATAAACAGCAGGCCCTAAGGGCTCTTTGAAGTCACTAGAGTGTTTAGTTTAGCAATCACTGGTTCATGTAGCTTATCTTTTCCTGGTATTTCTATGTGATTTAATAGTTCCAGCCTGGCCCAGGGAATGAAAACTTCTGGGTCTGTTTCTGGAAGCAATGCACTCCCCATTGCCATCTGTGATAAACCAAATAACCTTTCTCTGCCTCAGCTCTTTGCTTATAATCGTGCCTATTTTGCAGCAATGGAGTGAAACTTGACAAAGCAGTTGCAGTCGTTCACCAGTGAAGCAAAGTCTTCTTCCTAGTCACGCAGGTATGTCTAGTAATTAATTAATTAATGAATAAGTACCAACCTCTCGATGGTGATGTTAATGAAATATCCAACATTAAAGTGGCAATTAATTGTCAAGGGTTTAATAAAACAGATCCTTATTCTATTAGATTGGGATTCTTTAGTTATAAGTAATAGAATCTGACCCTGGCTAAGATCAGCAACAGAAAGTTTACTGAAAATTAACAAGATTACATCAATCAGAAGGCTTGATGTGGTGGGTGAAATTTTCCAAAGATTATCGTACTAGTATATATCCTGTCCCACATGTTCTTCTTACAGTGTGATATTGTCTGTACACCATTGAGAGGTGGGTGAGTTTATGTTCTTTGCCCTTGAACCTGAATGGACTTCTACAGTACTTCAATTAAAAGAGTGGTGCAGAAATGACACGATATAACATCAGAGGCTGGGTCATTTTAAAAAATGATAAGAGTTTCTGTGTTGATCTCTCTTGGGGCACGGATCTTTGGATCCCTGAGCTGCCATTTAAGAAGTCCAGCCACCCTCCAGCGACCATGCTGGATAAGCCATTTAAAATTATGAGAGATGCTCACGGGGCCCCACCTGTTCTGGTCTTCAGCCGTTCGAGTCTTCCCAGTCCAGGCGCCAGACATTTAAGCAAGCCTTCAAGCCCCTGCCTCTGAGCCACCCTATGTGAAAATGAATAGAAGAGAAACAAGCTGCCTCTGCTGAGCTGTCCCTGCTAAAACCCTGCCCCAGAGTGCAGTCTTGAGCAAGACAGATTTTATTATTGTTATTGTTTTAAACCAGTAAGTTGAGAGTGGTTTGTTACACAGCCATAGTAATTGGAACACTTGGGTAGGAAGCAGGAATAAAAGAAGAAAGAGTGAGAAAGCTCGGAATCAAGAACTAGAGAAATATCTCATAGCATTTGTAGTGTTGTTGTGCTACTGCCACCAGGTTGACTCAACTCCAAATGTCTCTTCAATCTTTGTATCACTTGCTTAAGATTCGAAGTCCTGGACAGCATATCCACACACCAAGCTGAGACTGTAAATCTAACTCCTGCTTGTACCTGAGTGATGCAGGGAAGAGTTGGTAGAAAGAGCCCCCAGCAGCTCCAGTGACTCCCCAGTAGGAAGGCATGATTTTCTAGCACCTGGATTTATCACCCCCACTAAGACAATAACATGGAGGGAAGGAAATTCTCAGAAAAGAAATTGGAGTGTTTTTCAGAAGGGCAGATGTAAGTCAGAAAGTAAAAATACCAGTCAGGGTCCACTCAGAACACATTTTATTCTACTTAAATAAGCAATTTTCTATAGTAGTAGTATCCTTGAATACAAATGAATTGCAAGTAAAATGTACCATCTTGTCTGCTAATAGTCTTCAAGATAAAGTAATTCACTGGAGTTAGAAGATATTAGGCTGCTCTGTTTCTTTTTCTTTTTTTTTAAAAATGATCTTTAATAATTTAGTATTTAGCACCCAGTCTATAAAATATTCACAAACATAAGACAAGAGTCTGCAGATTATAAAAATACTTACAGCTGCCTTAAACCTCTTCCAGAACAAAATTGAGGAATAAATAAATAATAAATTAATAAAATACTGAAAAATTTCTCTGGGTCATTGTTTCTCAAACTCTAGTCCTTTTTCATTAGATTTAACCTGTTATCAAATGCTGTGGCCCAACACACACATACAGAATTGCCTCAATCATTTTCAATCAAATAAGCTGCTCAGCTTCTTGTAAATGCTAATAAGACTCACTGATTGCTGGACCACATTGGAGGTTTACAGCATTTGATTGAATTGAAAGGCCATTGATCCAGTGGCCTCATAGATAGAAAATGTAAAGAATAATTTTTCTTTATTGTCATTGTGCATTCAAGTTTGAATTTGCCTTAGTTATTTAACAGGAGACATTGCTCCCTTTTAAATGATAGTATAAGCAGCAGTGGCAAAATGATTCTTCATCATTGAGATTTCTCTATGATATTAAACAGGAGAAATAAAGAGTTTTAAAAACCATGATGCCCTTTTATTTGTAGAAAAAACAGCTTTAGAAGACTTATGATTTTCCTAAGTATTTCAATCAGATTACATACATTTAGATCAATATGTACTGAAACAATACACCCTTGCTAAGAAAGTTTATTATTGCACATGCATAGGATAGACTTGGGAATAGAACAAAATGTGACGTATTCATGCCAATATGGGAAGTCTTATATAGTTTCAGACTTTGTTAGTGAAATTATAAGATATATATATGTTTTAATTATATATATCTTATAATTATCTCTCATATGATTTATATATCATGTTTTATATCCTTATATCTGATATATATATATCTTAACAGCATTAAGAGTGAAAAGACCACTATCGTTGGACAGTCTCTTACTGTTGTTCTTTCAGTATTTTGTAAAAGCAAGATTTCTCAACTTCAGCACTATTGAAAATATTTTGTTGTAGGAACTGGCTTGTGCATTGTAGGATATTTGACCTCTACCCACTAGATGCTAGTAGCACCCCCCCAGTCTTTTTATTAAATTGGGGTCATAGATATAAAATATAAAATTTTCCATTTAATAATTTTTAGTATGCAGTTCACTCAGTTCAGTGGCATTAAATGCATTCAAATTGTTGTGCAATCATCACCACCAGCCATCTCTAGAACATTTTTATTTTTCCAAACTGAAACTACTCTATACATGTTTAAACAATAACTTCTCATTTCCTCCTACTTGCAGCCCCTGGTAACTACCATCCTACTTTCTGTCACTATGAATTTGATACTCTAGGTACCTCATGTAAGTGAAATCATACAATATTCGTCCTTTAGTGACTGATTTATTTCACTAAGCATAATGTTTTCAAGGTTTATTCATCTTGTAGCATGTGTCAGAACTTCCTTTTTATAGCTGAATAATATTCCATTGTATATATATCCCACATTTTGTTTATCCATTCATCTGAAAATGGACACTTGAGTTCTTCCACCTTTTGGTTATTGTGAAAAATATGGCTATGAACATGGGTATACAAATATCTGCTTGAATTCCTACTATCAATTCTCTTGGGTATTTACCTAGAAGTGAAATTGCTGGAAGATATGGTAATTCTCTGTTTTCTCCTTTGAGGCATGTAACCCCAGTCTTGACAACAAAGAATATCTTCAGACACTGCCAAATGTACCCTTGGGGTCAAAATGGCTCCCAATTAAGAACCAGTTGTCTGAAGTAACAAACTTTTGAACAATGGTGTTACCACAATCCTGGATTTTTGGTTTAGAAGAGACATTTGATGAGTTGAGTGAATCATCTCTGCCTACTCTCTGAGGCTTGTATTTGACGACCAGAAGTGCTTGGGAAGTCAATCACCCATAGGGCCACCTCAATCTTGTCCCATCAATTCTTCATTCCTTAATCTCTTTTAGTCTACTGGTTCACTCTTATCATGCTACAAACGTTTGTGCCTCTGTATCTTCTACCTTCTA
This sequence comes from Homo sapiens, assembly GCF_000001405.40. NCBI lineage: Eukaryota > Metazoa > Chordata > Mammalia > Primates > Hominidae > Homo > Homo sapiens. The sequence continues at coordinate 30,600,766 of NC_000011.10, forward strand.
GTCACCAACAGACATCTTAACATGCTAATCTATAAAATTTCACCTCCCAATAATGGATTCTTCAATCAATTAACACCTGAAACTGCTTTATATATAGTCACCTAGATTTGATCACACACTTTCTTTTATCTTTTTGTTTGACCTAGTCATGGCAGGACAAGTTTAGGAGTCATGACTCCTAGATTTGAGTCCTGGTTCTACCATGTGTTAGCTGTGTAAACTTACATGATTACTTAAACTCTCAGGCTGTCTGATAGAACTTTCTGTAATGATGTTCTATGTTTTATAATTTGAGCTGAAAAATACAGTAGCTGCTGTTGAGCACTTAGAATTGGCCTGTGTAACTCAGAGACTGAATATTAAATTGTATTTAAATTAAATTAAATTGAAATGTTAATACCCACATGTGGTGATATGGTTTGGCTGTGCTACTACCCAAATCTCATCTTGAATTGTAGTTCCCATAATCCCCATATGTTGTGAGACGGACCTTGAGGGAGGTGATTAGATTAGAGAGATGGTTCCCCCATGCTGTTCTCATGGTAGTGAGCGAGTTCTCACGAGATTTGATGGTTTTATAAGGGACTTTTCCTCCCTTCACTTGGCACTTCTCCTTCCTGCCATCATGTGAAGAAGGACATGTTTGCTTCCCCTCCCACCATGATTGTAAGTTTCCTGAGGTCTCTCCAGCCTTGTGGAACTGTGAGTCAATTAAACCTCTTTCCTTTACAAATTACCCAATCTCCAAAATTTCTTTATAGCAGTGTAAGAACAGACTAATACATGTGGCTAATGGTTACTTTTTGGATAGTGCATATCTAAGAATCAGTTTTCTCATCTATAAAATAATGACAATGATAATATTTGCCTCCAGGGATAGTTTGAGAATTAAATGAGATAATGTATGTAAAGTACTTAGTTTACTACTTGGAACAGCAAAAGAACCTGGTAAATATCAGCAATAAACTTAACTAGCTTTATAGGCAACTTACTTCACCCTCTGAAACTCAGTTGTTGCTTTTGTTTTTTAATCTAACGCTATGTAAGATCCTCTGAGTAATGGTGTATCTAATGATTTAGGTCTGCCATAAGACTCATGTGTAGGATGCATAATAAGGGTTCCATAACGAGGATCATAGGACAGCTTTTGTTTGGGGGATGGATTTTTAAAATCTTATTTGACCTCAATTTCAAAGCTCTTGGAGTTATGAAAGTTTAAATGTCTAAGACAATAAAAGAAAATACAGGGTGACCAAAAGAAACTTTGAGTAAACTAAAAATATTACTCTATACCAAAAGCTTTCTAATTTGGATATCAAAGCAAGCGTGAAGGTTTGTTGAGTTGATTTTGTCGTGTGTTAAAGTTTCTGATATTCTAGTCTCACTGTATCCAATAGCCTGCCTCTTTCCCTTAAGAAAAATGAGAGTTGCCATGAACTGAGTGCCTATGATATGCATAGTACTCTCCTGGTTATTACTGCTTATCTACAATTTTGCAAAGTAGGTATTGTTATCCCTATTGTGAAAGTTGGGAAACTGAGCCTTGGGAAAATTAAATGAGTTGTCCAAGGTCACATGACTAAAAGTAGAACCCTGCCTTACCTGGCTCTAAAGTTTGCCATCTGTCTACTACAGCACATTGCACCTCTTTAGGTGAGTATATTGAAACTATAATAGCTGCCCAATAATTAGATTATCCAATTAGTTTATAAGTTTGGCTTCATCTGAATCCACATAATTAATTTTTCTGAGTTCTTTCCAAAGCTGTTGTCAAGTATTATGAGTGTGTTTATTTGTATGTTTGGGAAAGTTCTGCTGTGAAGGATAGAAAACAAATTACTAAGATACAGCTATCACTTTTATAGCTAACATTTGTTGGTAATTAATCAAAACTAGGCTCTAAGTGCTTCACCTGGAATATCACTGTTAGTCCTTTTAACCCAATCCCATACGTGCCATTTTTACATTAATTTTATTGAAAAGTAAACTGGGGCACAGAGGACAAATAATTCATCTCAGATTACCCAACTGCAACCAGGATTTGGATCCAGATACTGTGTCACCAGCATCCAAGTTCAAAACTACTACACCATGTTACCTGCTGGTAGTACTAACATGAGGATTGAGCACTGGTCAGTACTTGTGTGTGTGCATTGGGCATACAGATTTCTTTAGCAGCATCCTTATCATAACCTTTCATACTCTTTTTGTTGCCTCCTTTGTAATATTCCTGCTATTACATTACTGTCCTCTAGTTGACTTTCTGTTCCAGTCTCTTTTATCTTCTGCCAATTTTACTACTGGGATACTAGGTAACATTAGAAAGTGTAGAGTTTTTTTTGTCAAAAAAGGAAAAAAGACTCTTTATTGACAAGAGTAATGAGCTTTCAGAGCACCTGGCATAAAAAATGATTTTGTGAATTAAATAAGTAAACAAGTCCAAATCTCAGTTACTTCTTTATTTTGCCACTATAGTTTGAAATGGTAAGAGCAGCTACGTTGTACTGAAGCTCCAATATTTTATGTTCTGTTAAGAGAGTTTAGTTCCAAAAGAGAATTTATGTGATTTTTTGCTTTTAGAAAAACTGCAATTCTCAGGACTACAATATTTAAGGGTATTAATGAGAAATATCCAAGGGAAACACTAATCATTTGAGGGGAAAATACATTTTCTATGTCAAGCAAAAAATATTCCAGTGTTGTCAGTGAGCCAAATTATGAGAATTATTCAGAGACCTTTTTTTTATAGCACTTACCAGAGCAGTTAGGATAATCTATGCCCTATTGCATCATAAGGTACGTTCAGGATTTGGCATTTAAGTATGATACATGCTAAATTGAAAATATGCACTTGTTAAAAAAAGAGAGTAAGAGGATTCAATGTGTGGTTTTTCACCTGTCAGGGGTTATCGGAAGCTGTAATTCAGGAAAAAATGAAAGGAAAAGATATAGGTTGCCCAATAGATTAACACTACTTAGTGAACTTTTAACCACCTTCAGTGGGGTTTTCATTTGACAGGCAAAGAAGTGATATACTTTGACGACAACAATCATGGAATCCACCATAAAGGTATTTGAACAGTTCCAGAATGTGTACAGGTCACTAAGATATGCAAAAAAAAAAAATCCAAAAAAAAAAAAGAGCTAACCTTAATTGTTTCTATTCTTTCAATACTGCCAACCCAGAAATAATAGAATAATGAGTTGGATGCTACATGCTGAACGACATCATTTTTAAGTTTGTATGAGAATTTACATTTATCTTAACAAACTGCCTTGGGGACATGCTTTGAGGCTCTATAAACTATAAGTCTCTATGTTTCTGTAAACTATGAGGAGCTTTCATCAGGGAGGAAATTATATATAATAGGCAATATGAATGATATTTTTATCTGATGTCGACATTGCAAGAAATGTGTTGATTCTAATAGAGTGAATCATATGAAACTGTCAATATTTGACTGTTTTTGATCTACAAAATGTCGATTTCATGTGGTTCAATCTAATATTTTAAGGTGTGAGTAAACCACAAAGCAAAAATGTTATTTTTGGGCTTCTAACAGTAACTGGGATTGCATTGGAATTTGTTCAAGCTTAAAGAAGCTAGGATGATTTGAACATTTTTATTTCAAGAATGTATTTCAAAGTGATAGACTGAAAAATAAATAGAATTTAAAGTGTACTCTGACATTCTTATTATATCAAATTTGTTCAACACAGCAGACACTTTCAAAATTATCAGAAACCTAAACAAACAAATCATAAATAGATAATGCAAAACATCTAATGATTGTATTTTCTGTGTCAGTCTGAATTACTATTATGGTAAAGAGGAGCACAGGTGGCTTTTCCTTTTTAGAAACTCTACAGCCATACAAAGGATCCTTGCCTGTGTAATAACAGGGAAATGAACGCAGGAAGGAAAAAGGCCGCTGACATTAGGTAATGTTTAAAATCCTGACCCCTTGATTTGGGCATATGGTATTCACTTTATCATTTAACCCATATAGAGACCTTTCCAAGAGTGAAAATAAAATGACTCATTAAAATGAAAATTACAAAAACAAAGGTCAGCTAGTTCCCAGAAATTATAATTAGTAAATAAACAAATTATTCCCTCCCCATTTTTTATTTTGAATTATTTTAAAACTACAGAAAAGTTGTAAAACAATACAATGATTATTCACATACCCCTCACCTAGATTCACCAAAGTACTAACCAATTGTTAGTATTTTGTTATCTCTCTGTCTCTTCCTCTCTCTCTCTCTTAATTGTTCTATTCTGACATTCATAAATAAGCAAAGATATATTTTAAGGATTTTTCAATACTCTTCAAGTCAGGTGTGCATCTCCCCCTGTCCACCAGGTTAACCAACATGTCACAGATTCATAGAATGATTCTGTCATTGGAAAGTACCCAGTTATCTCAGAAACTTACTCCTAATCTAGCCCATTCTGTACCACAGAGTTCTGAAGTTCATTCTTTCAAGAAAGAGGAAGCAGCGATGGTAATTTTATCATTTACCCACAGGGCATGTAGGTGACAGTGATATATTCACTTGGTACCCTCAGTAACAAAACAAAGCTCCAACAAATCAATTTAAAGGGGGAAGGGATTACATTATCTTCCTCCTATCAAGGCAGGGTCTAAGTTTCACAGCAAAACCCTTTAGGGAATTTGTGTGTTCTTCTCACCTTATCTCGTGCCTCTTCTGGAATAACCTGCTAATTGATTTCCTTGCCTCCCATTTACCCCTGCACTCTCTAACTTATCTTGCACACAGCTGCCAGCACAATCTTTAGTAGGAAATCCTACTTCGATCCTGTCATTCTCCTGACCAGAAATGTTCACCAATGTCCTATGTCAAACAGGATACATTTCTGACTTCTTAATCTAGGAGTGATGTTCAGCTGGTATGACTTAGTATGGTTATACCAGTTGTTACAGTGTTGAAATACTTCCATACCACTTGATAAAGAGAAATACTTAACTTACTGACTCTATAAATGACCTAAGAATCTAGCCTAGCATCAGCTTCGACAAAGAGTAATGGGGCTTGGGAATGGTGCTGACATGAAGGTGGCTGGTCAATGGTAATTGCTTAGTAGACAAAGGTAATGGAGGTGGTGCCAGTGGTGGTGGCCTGAGCAGATCCTGACAGGTCCAAGTCAAGATATCATCTTTGTTTTAGGTCTTGCCTTCAGACCATATATTCAGTCTATTAAAAATAAGTAAATAAAGCTGGGTGTGGCGGCTCAAGCCTGTAATCCTAGCACTTTGGGAGGCTGAGGCGGGATGATCACTTGAGGCCAGAAGTTCGAGACCAGCCTGGCCAACATGGTGAAACCCCTTCTCTACTAAAAATGCAAAAATTAGCTGGGCATGGTGGTGTGCACCTGTAGCCCCAGCTATTTGGGAGGCTGAAGCAGGAGAATCGCTTAAACCCAGGAGGCAGAGGTTGCAGTGAGCCGAGATTGTGCCACTGTGCTCTAGCCTGGGCAACAGAATGAAACTCTGTATCAAGAAAAAAAAAAAAGTAAATAAATGAGAAATCTGCCCATTTCTCACCAATAGCACTGGTATAATCTAGTCCAGGCCATCATCAGCTCAGCCTTCACATCAGAAGAGCCTCCTCCTCCTCTGGCCAGCCAGGGTGATCTTAATGCTTAAATCAGAACACACCAGGGCACTGCTGAAAGCAGCAGCTCCTTGAGCACTGTAGATGAATATCCACACTCCCAATCATGGTCTACAATGCCATATGGGCCCTGCCTCCTCTTTGCGTTCATCTTCTACTCTTCCCTTACTCTAGTCACACTGGCTTCATTTCCATTCCTCAGTTATGCCAAACTTGCAGCCCTTTTGGGACCTTTAGCATTTGGTTTCCCTTCTACTTGGAATAAACATCATAAAGCTTGCTTCATGGTTGCCTCCTTCTCATAAGTCAGGTCTCCATTCAAAGTCAGTTCTTCATAGAGGCCTTTCCTCACCAGCCTAGACAGCCTTTATCTCCCCGGTCTCTCTCTACCTCATCACCTTATTTTCTTTATTATATCACAGGCTTATTTTCTATCTTCCTCCACTGGATTCTAAATTTCTAGGAGTTAGGGTTATCTATTTTGTTCATTGCTTTATCCAAACACAAAGAACAGCGCCTGGCCTAACGTGTTTGTTGACTGACTGTCTGATTGACAAAAACACTGAGCACAGTGCCTGGCACTTCATATCTAGGTACCTGTTAGCTATTTTATCGTCACAGTATTCTATGTAGTTATAAATCTGGTAGCCTGTCCTAATCTTTTGGCTTCACCTCTCTTATATTTATATCCCAGCACCAGCACAGTGCTTGGCACTAAACTGATTTAGTGGAATCTAACTTTTTATTATAATAAATTATAATCAACCTGTTATAGACCTTGGACAGAGACTTCTTGGAGTAGCTTTATTCTTTTCTTTCTCTTGGCTTTGACTTTGGGAGTAGAAAGAATCAGATTCCTTATAAAGATGTGTTATAAATTTCTCAAGTTATGCATGTTGTCTATAAAGCAAATGTTGTAAACTGGCAGCCCAGAGGTTCAATATATTGCTGGATGTTATTTGTTTTGCTCAGTGGTGGATTAAAGTTTTTTGAGGGTGCATTTAAAAATCAAAAGAGTTCACAGTTTTTCATAGAAAAAAGAAATCATATTTCAGGTTTTTATTTTAAAGGAAGATCTGGACACAGCGAACTCAATTTCGTGCAACAATTGGCCAAAGCTGAGTAACAGTTGCTCACTTCAACCTGGGCATCAGCCCCTGGGGCTGTCCTAGTTACCACCTATCCTTTCTCATTCATTTGTCATCTGCCTGGATCCCAGGAAGACCTTGAGTTTGTGATTACTATTGTAAAGAAAGTTTCCATAAGGGGCGTAATTTTTTTTTTTTTTTTTTTTTTTTTTTACACCTTGCTGTGTGGAATTAGAATTTTCCCAGCTTTTCCTATCCAGAGTCTTGGTTTCATTTGATAGGATAGGAGTTAAAGAAGAAAATTTGGAAAAAGGCACTAACTTAGATATGAGGGGAAAGAGAGCAGTTAGGAAAGGAGCAAATTCAGGTTTTATGGGATGAGAAGCTTATATAATTTTTTGGATCCCCCTTTTTTTGTGCGTGTGTGTGTGTGTGTTCTCCTGGACTTAACTTTAAAAAAAAAAAATGGCTGGGTGTGGTGGCTCAGGCCTGTAATCCCAGCACTTTGGGAGGCCGAGGAAGGTGGATCACGAAGTCAGGAGTTGGAGACCAGCCTGACCAAGATGATGAAACCCTGTCTCTACTAAAAATACAAAAAATAAAAAATACAAAAATTAGCCAGGCATGGTGGCAGGCGCCTGTAATCCCAGCTACTTGGGAGGCTGAGGCAGGAGAAGCGCTTGAACCCAGGAGGTGGAGGTTGCAGTGAGCTGAGATCACGCCACTGCACTCTAGCCTGGGTGACAGAGCAAGACTTTGTCTCAAAAATAAAAAAAAAAAAAGGAAAAAGAACATATAATTGTAAATTTATAAAAAAAATTACTAGGATCTTTCCCAGGGCCTTGGAAGAGACTGGAGCAAGAGAGGTACCCTGAGGTTTATGAATTATTAGCTCTATTGTAAGTCCACCCCCAACTGGAGTGAGAAAGGAGATGGAAAGCTTTATAAGCAATCGTTTAGACAGTAACATCTGTGCTGTCTGCAATGTCCAACATGAAACTGAAGAACCGATGAAGTTCAATAAAGTTGATAGAGATGGAAGCACATAGGCTTTGTGCCAAAGCATATGTTAATTTTTTTCTTCATTATCCACTTTTTTCTGGATGTAATCCTCTTCTTGGATCTAAGGATTCTTAAATCCTCTGCAGTCTGTTTCCCAGGCTCCTATGTCAGATGCCTTTGGCCAATGGGAGCCACTGGCTGGAGATGAGAGGGTGGGAGAGTTTTTATCCAGACCTCTCTCTCTGGGTGGCATCTTCACAAGCAGCTGCATCTCCTCCTGTTTTTAGGTCTTACTGGATAAACCTTTTATGGATCTAACTTCCAATAGGAGACTTTAGCCTCTGGGCTTTGTTCATGGGCCCCTTCCCTTTATCTCTCCAGCAAAGTGGTAGTAGACATTTCTGGTTGTTGCTAATCTCTGGGTTACCTCACTATTCCCACTTTGACTTTTCTGCTCCTCTGTCAGCAGAGGAGCAAAATGTAATCAATTCCCTGCATTACAATCCTCTTGTTTTAAATACTCAGAGTGGATTATTTTTCTTTTTTCTTCTATTGGACTCTGATGCATTGATTGATGTTGGGACAATTTTGTCTAGCTTTATTCATACATTGTTCTGATGCTTAATTCTATGATCTTACGATTCTTATTAAAAACTGTCATTTTTAATATAAAGTCTTCATGCTTTTGCCACCATGTTCTTTACTTCATGAAGTTGACTGTGCTTGTTGGCTTGTTTGATTATTTAAAAGTATCTTTGAATTACCCAGACTATGACAAACTTAGGTTGTATGAGAGTGATTTTCTTGTACAGATATGCATAGAGCAACCCTTATGAATGAAATATTGAAATACTAAAGTATGTCCCAAACACTATTCTTATAAAGTATGTGAACTTGGTATGGATCTAATATAAAAACATATATTAGATGATGATATAAGTAGTGTTTGATTTTATGAACTTTTTTTATGGAAAATTTCAAAAATATACAAAGTAAATAGAATTGCATAATGAATCCATAGGTTATCATCACCCAGCTTCAACAATTATCAATACTCTGTTATTCTTATTTCACCTATACCTCCATCCAATCCCTACTCCCTCACCAAAATATTATAATTTCTATAGTTTTTTATAGTAAAATTTTACACATGAAAATATACAAATATATATACATATATGTGTATATGTGTGTGTGTGTGTGTGTGTGTGTGTATATATATATTTAATAGAGACAAGGTGTCGCTCTGTCACTCAGGTTAGAGTGCACTGGTGCAATCATAGCTCACTGTAACCTTGAACCTCTGGCCTCAAGAAATCCTCCCATCTCAGGCTCCCAAAGTGCTGGGATCTGCCACACCCAGCCTAAAATAAACAAACCTTAGTTGTACAAGTTTGACTAATGGATGTCCCTGGGTAACCATATCTTTACCATAATACAGAGTTTTCAATCTCCTAAGAAGATTGCCTCCTGTACCCCCCCAGGCAATTCCTATCCTACCCGTGAAGGAACCACATTTCTGATATTTTTTAACCCTTGTATTAGTTTTGCCTCTTTTATAATATATGCAAACATAAAAACATACAACATGCAGTGAAATCAGAAGTATGTACACTTCTGTGTCTGGCTTTATTTGGCCAGCATATCTGTGATACTCATTCATGTTGTGTGTATTAACAATTCACTCCTGTTGGAATTGCACTGTATGGATATACTTTGATTTCTCCAGTTTGCGGATCTGGTAAGTTTCCTGGTTTTGTGTCTTTTGAATAAATTTTTAATGAATATTCTTATACATTTTTTTTGGTGATCATTTTTCTCATGTCTCTCGGATAAGTAGGAGTAGAATTATTGGGTCAAGGGTAGATACTTAACTTCATACTAAACTACTAAAACTTTTTTATAGGTGAATTGCCTTTTTACTTTCCCATCATCAATATATGAGAGTTCCAGTCACGTCACAATGTTGCAAATATTTGGTATTGTCATGCTTTTTATATTTTACCATTCTACTGAGTGTGGAGTTGCACCTCATTGTGATTTGAATTTGCATATTTCTAAGAAGTAATGGTATTGCATACCTTTTTCATTTGCTTCATTCTTTAACTAGTGTTTTCAAGTGCTTTGCCCAATTTTTAAATTGAGTTGTTTGTCTTTTATTATTGAGTGAGTGTAGAAGTTCTTTATATATTCAGAATATGTATCTTATGAATGTATTCTTGGTATGTGTGGCTTGCCTGTATTTTATTTTATTTTGAAGCAGGTCTCACTCTTTCACTCAGGCTGGAGTGTGGTGGCACAATAATGACTCAGCTCACTGCAGCCTTGACCTTCCGGGCTTGGGTGACTCTCCGACCTCAGCCTCCTTAGTAATTGGGACTACAGGTGCATTCCACCACACCTCCCAGCTAGTTTTGTTTTTTGTTTTTGTTTTTGTTTTTTTTGTATTTTTTTGTAGACACAGGGTTTTGCCATATTGCCCAGGCTGGTCTTGAACTCCTGGACTCAAGTGATTGGTCCGCCTCAGCCTCCCAAAGTGCTGAGATTATAAGAGTGAGCCACCACACCCCGACCTGTTTATTTTAAAGAGTAGAATTTGAACAGCAACAACTTTTAATTTTGATGTAGTTTAATTTATTCATATTTTCTTTTACAGATATTGCTCTGTAAATAAATCTTTGTCTACTCCCAAGTTACAAAGATAATCTCTTATATTTTCTTCCCAAAGCTTTGTAGTTTTACTTTTAGATTTTTATCTATAACCCAGCTCAAATTAATTTTCATGTATGGTATGAGATAACGATTGTGGTTTATTCTTTTCCATATGTACACCAGTTGTTCCAGAACAATTTGCTGAACAGTTTTTCTTTCTTCATAGAATTACTTTGGAGCTTTTCTCAAAAAATAACTTATTGCCTAAGTGTAGGCTTATTGCTGGACTCCCCAGTCTGTTCCATTATCTATTTGTCTGTCCTTAGCCAATATGACAAGACTACAGTCTTTATTATGGAAGTTTTAATGTAATTATTTAGTATAGGACCTTCAGTTGTATTCTTTTTTAAAAATTGTTTTGGCTATTATAAATCTTTTGCATTTTAAAATACATTTTAGTATCAGTTTATGAATTTCTATAAAAATGCCTGAAGTGATTTTAAAAGGGACTGTGTTGAAGTTACATATTATGTTAGGGGGAATTTACATCTTAATACTATTGATTCTACAAATCCATAAACATAGTATATCTCTCCATTTATTTAGTACTTCTTTAATGTCTTGGTTTTCACGTAGAAGTTTTTGAATCTTTATTAAATTGATTCTTAATTTATATGTTTTATGCCATGTTAAAACATTCTTTTTCAAATATTTGTTGTGAATAGATATTCATTTGTTTTAAAAAAACTGACTTCATGTTGATGTGTCTGTTGGCTGCATAAATGTCTCTTTTGTGCACATGTACCCTAGAACTTAAAGTATAATAAAAATATGTATATATTGAAAAAAAACTGACTTTATATATGAGACCTTACTAAACTCACTTATTAGTTCTATTAATTTGTTTTCATGGAAACAATTATGTCATCTGCCTACAGAGACAACTTTATTTTTCCTTTCCTTTATTTTTTCCTACACTACTATGTTAAATAAAGGAGTGAAAGCAGACTTACTTTTTTATTTTTTTTTTAATTTTAGGGGAGAAAGCATTCTGTATGTCATTAGCTATGACTTTTTCATAGATGTCTTATATCAGATTGAGGAAGTTTTCTTCTTTTTATTTTTTTATTTTTATTTTTTTTAGAGATGAGGTCTCTCTCTGTTGCTCAGACTGAAGTGCAGTGGTGTGATCATAGCTCACTGCAGCCTCAGACTCTGGGCTTCAAGCAATATTCTCATCTCAGCCTCCCAAGTCATTGGGATAACAGGTGGGAGCCAGCTCTCCCAGCATTTTTGTTCCTCAGTTTGCTGAGAGTTTTTATCAGTAATGAGTGAGAAATTTTGTCAAATGTTTTTTCTACATATATTAAAATGACTGTATGTTTTTCCTTTGTTCAGTTGTATGTAGTATTGTATTTATTAATTTTCAAATGTTAAATCAACCTTGCATTCCTGGGATAAACTCTGCTTGGCTTGATGTGTTACCTTTCTGCATTTTTAAAAATTTCCTCATATATTGTTATTTATTTCATATATTTTCGGGAGACACTTTGATCTACAATTTTTCTTCTTTCTTTACTCTTTTTCTTTCCTTCTTTCTTTTGTTTCCTCTTTCTTCCTTCCTCTCTCTCACTTTCTTTCTTTCTATTGGGATATCAGGATTACTATTGCTTCCTAGAATAAATTTAGAGATGTTTCTTCTTTCTCTATTTTCTGAAATAGTTTGTGGAAGATAAGCATTATTTCTTTCTTAAATATTTGATAGCATTTACCAATGAAAATGTTGAGACTGGAGTGTTTTTGCTTGTTTATTTTTGTGTGTATTTGAGGAAGATTTTGATAACAGATTATTTTCTTAGATAGAAATACGAGTGTCCAAATATCCCATTTTATCATGTTTGCTTCTAAGTTGTGTCTTTTCAAATAATTAGTTGATTTTATTAAAGATGTCAAATGTATTCATATAATATTGTTAATAGTATGCCCTTATTTTCATTTTGATGTCTGAATGGTCTATAGTGGAATCTTTTTTATTATTGATATTGGTATTTTGTATTTTTTCATGATCAATCTTTCTAGGTTTAAATTTTTGTCTTAATACTTTCAAGGAACTAAATTGTTAATTTTGTTGATTTTATTCATTGTTTTCAATTTTATTGATTTCTTCTCTTTACATTTGCTTTTTCCTACTTCATTTAGATTAAATTTTCTTTTTCTTCTAACTTCTTAAGATTGAAAATATAGATAAATAATTGAAGCTTGTCTTTCTTTTTACTATGAACACTTAAAGCTATAAACTTCCCTATAAGCATTGTTTTAATTGCATCTTGTCATTTCTGATGTGCTAAATTTCATTATCATTCAGTTAGAAACATTTTAAAATTTCCTTTTGATTTCTTTCTTTGTTGACCCATGAATTGTTGAGAACTATGTTATTTAATTTCCAAGTATGTGAGACTCTCCAAATATCTTGTTGTTACTTAATTCTACTGTGGTGAGAAAATATACTCTATAAACTCTACACTTAATCTTTTGAAACTTATTTATTAAAATATTATTAGATTTTATATTTTTTGACATATAAAAATCGGTGTGTATTCAAGGTATACAACTTGATGAGTTTGGGGATAAGTATACATTCATGAAACCATTACCACCATGAAAGTCATACACATATTCATCACCTCCCGAAGCTTCCTCTCATGCCTTTTATTACTGTTATTTTTGTGGATGTGGTAACAACATAACAACTCTTTATTTGTCTTAACAAATTTGAAGTATGTAATACAGTATTGTCAGCTAGCTATAGGCACTATGCTGCATAGTAAACCCTTTTTTTTTTTTTGAGATGGAGTCTTGCTCTGTCACCTGGGCTTGAGTGCGGTGACAAGATCTCGCCTCATGGCAACCTCCATCTCGCCTCCCAGGTTCAAGCGATTCTCCTGCCTCGGCCTCCCAAGTAGCTGTGATTACAGGCAGCTGCCACCACGCATCGCTAATATTTTTGTATTTTTAGTAGAGACAGGATTTCACTATTTTGGCCCGGCTGGTCTCGAACTCCTGACCTTATGATCCCCCTGCCTGGGCCTCCCAAAGTGCTGGGATTACAGGCATGAGCCACCATGCCTGGCCGCCGCATAGTAAACCTTTAGAACTTATCTTGCATAACTGAAACTTTATCCTTTGACCATCACCTCCCTGTTTTCCCCTCCCCCTTACCCCTAGCAAACACTATTCTACTCTCTGTTTCTATGAGTGTGATTATTTTAAGTCCCATATATAAATGACATCATATAGTATTTTTCTTTCTGTGTCTGGCTTATTTCCCTTAGCATAATTTCATCCGGGTTCATACATATTGTCACAAAGGGCAGGATTTCTTTCTTTTTTAATGCTGAATAATATTCCATTCTATATACATATGCCACATTTTCTTTATTCATTCATCCATGGACATTTAGGTAGTTTCCGTATCTTGGCTATTGTCAATAATGCTGCAATGAGCATAGGACTGCAGATATCTCCTTGCGATCTTGATTTAAATTATTTTGGGTAAATATCTAGAAGTAGGATTACTGAATCAAATGGTAGTTCTATTTTTAATTTTCTGAGGACTCTCAATACTGTTTTCTATAATGGTTGCCCCAATTTACATTTCCATGAACAGTGTACCAGAGTTCCATTTTCTCCATATTCTTGCCAACACTTACTATCTCTTTTTTTAAATAATAATAACTAATAGACATAAGGTGATAGCTCCTTGTGATTTTAATTTGCATTTCCCTGATGGTTAGTGATGTTGAGCACATTTTCATATATCTGTTGGCCATTTGTATGTCTTCCTTAGAGAAACATCTGTTCAGGTCCTTTGCCCATTTTTAAGTCAGGTTATATTGTTTTACTGCTATTGAGTTGTATGATTTCCTTATGTGTTTTAGATGTTAATCCCTTATCAGAGATATGGTTTGCAAATATTTTCCCATTCCATGGGTTGTCTTTTCATTTATTGATTGTTTCCTTTGTTGTGCAAAACCTTTTTAGTTTAATTTAACCCCACATGTTTGTTTTTGCTTTTGTTGTCTATGCTTTTGGTGTCATATCCAAACATTCATTGTCAAGACCAGTGTCAAGGATTTTTTTTAGGAGTTTTATAGCTTCAAGTCTTATGTTTAACTCTTTAATTTTGAGTTGATTTTTTGTGTATCACATATAATAAAGGTCCGGTTTCATTCTTTTGCATGTAGATATAATTTGACCAACACCATTTATTGAATGAGCTATTCTTTCTCTATTTTGTATTGTTGGCACTGCTGTTGAAGATTACTGAATATGCTAGATTCTAGGTTCTGTTGTATTATTGTAAAGAGTGAGTTTTGTCTTAGTAGATAGTTAATATGGTTGAATTCAATACCTAAATTCTGTGACTCCTGTGATCAGCAGGGGTGGGAATCTATGCTCATTTATTTAAGCTTCTACTAAATTATCCTCCTGCCTCTATGTTTTTCTTGTTTTAATATAAGAGGACAAAAAACATGCTCAGAAAACTCTTTATATTGAGCTTGCCTCCTTCAGCGTTTGAGTTAATGAATGGAGAGACTATGGCATATACGATGCTGAATTCAAATGCTGAAGACTAATTCATTAATATTTTATTGAATAAATATTTCTTAAACCCGCTTTGTGTCAATTACTCTGCATTTTTGTATTCTAGGAATACAAAAATAAAGAAGATTTTCAAGGACCTTATAGTCTAGTGAGTGGGACAACCAATACATAGATTAATATAAAGGAATATAATAAATATTTTAATGGAGACACAGAGTGAATTTGTAGGAGCATACAGGATAGGTATCTAACCTAGCCTGGTAGTATTAAAACAGAAATTTTTGTTTGTCTGCTTTGTTTTCTTTTTAACTTAAGGTCTTGCTCTGTCACCCAGGCTGGAGTGCATAGTGCCATCATAACTTACGGCAACCTCAAACTCCTGGGCTCAATTGATCCTCCTACATCAGCCTCTTGAGTAACGGGGACAAGTGTGTACTACCATGGCCGGATTTTTTTTTTTTTAATGTATTGTAAAGCAAGGTTTATGTTGCCCAGGCTGGTCTCAAACTCCTGGGCTTAAGCAATCTGCTTGTCTCAGCCTCCCAAAGAGTTGGAATTACAAGCATGAGCCACCACACCCAGCCTAGAAAGTGTATTATAAGGAGGTACACCCTAAGTAAAAACATGGAAATATTTAGAGACTACAAGAATGAATACAAAATCTCCATACATTTCTAGCATTTTTGTAAGATATTTTATTTCATTTCAACTCAACTAAAATTTACTAAACATTTACTGTGTGTCTCACGTTGTTGCAAACACTAAGGAAGAAAATAAATTCTTATGAAGCATCTCACAATATACCCAAGGAAAAGGAAGGAAAAATGGACACTCTTTTTACACAAAAAAATCTTCATTAGCCATCACCATGACTTTTTTAAAAAATTTTTTTCCTAATTTTTAGGTAAGAAAATGGAATCTCAGAAAAATTAAATAACACAGATAAGGTTATAGAGATAATAACTGAAAGAATAAAGACTGAAAACCAAATCCATCTACTCCAATTCATGCTATTTCTACCAATTTTATAAGACAATATTAAGAACAATTCTAACTTCATCAATTTCTATTTCATTTCTAGAAAATAAAAATCAATATGTCACATGTACGTAGTTTTAAAAATCAAATAATTCTGACTGTTATAATTTAAAAATCTCAGAATAAAAAAACAAAATTCTCAACCACAGAGAAACATCTAAAATGGAGAATTACACTCCAAAGCTCAATAATTTATGTAAGTATTTTTCTAGTATTAATATAGTATAATGCTTGCAAAATGATGAAACATACTGGGTAGATATAAAATTCTGTGTAAGACCTAATTTAAGCTATTTGTAATGTGCCTTTAACTTTGTGTTTTCAGGGTTTGCCCTGAGATTTTGCTAGTTTATAATATGCCATTATAAAGATGTAAAAAAATAACAGAATGAAGCCATATGGTTCTATATCAGATATCTTTACAAAATAAACAATTAGCAATATTTCAAATAATTCTTGAACACACGTCTACAATTTCAAGGAATTAACACAAGCAAACTAGTACTCACTCACTTTCATGTCAAGAAATATTCAGAGTATATGATTTGAAATGATAGAACCTCACTACTGGGTTTACTATATGAAATATGCAGGATATTACAAGTGTCATTTTATCTAGTAGCTGAGTTCTGTGACATGGAAACTAAGTTTGGACCATCTGCCACACTCAGGACACCAGCAAGTCATCTCCTGTTATGGCTCAAGAGAAAAAATAATACATTTCAGATCATAATGGGGACACAGTTAAGTCCTTGGTTAAAAACAAAACAAAACAAATGTATTCCAATAAGAGAATAGCAAGAGAAATAATGAAGTGGGAAAAGTTAAAAATGACCAAATATTCCAAAGTGCATTGCACACTACTTTGTGCACTACCAGGGTTCTAGCACACATAACAATATTGACACTTCCTAACAAATGTTTATGTTTCAGAAATTTGTTTCTAGGGCAATTGTGTATAATCATAAACAACTTTCTAATTTAAACAAATGCTAAGTGGTGTTTCAGTTCTAAGTTTAGGCTAGAGAAACTCATTTAATAGTGAATAACTTGATTGTAACATAATGATACTGTACAATATAAGCACTATTGAGAACATTCAAGAAAACACATTCTATTTTCTCCCTTGAAACTCTAGAAATGTATTTTCCTTCATTGAGGAAGTAGCTTTAGTAGTCCACTAGGGGTAGGGAGAAAAGCAGAACAGGTTTCAAATTGGGAGAACAGAGGAAATTGCAGAAGGTAAGACTCTGGTAGGGGCAGTAGAAGTTGAAACACTGGATATGACTAGAATTTATTGGGTGGAGTTTCTGGAAAAGCACTTTAAAGAGGGCTAACTGAGCTTTGAGAAACACACTCTTTGCTCTTTGCTTATCCTGCCCTGAGTGCAGATGTGATGGCTGGAGCTGGAGTGGATGTCTTATAGACATGAGTGGACTTTAAGTATAGAAGTCATGCACTAAGGATGGGAAATAAGAAAGGATACACTTGGAAAATTGGTAAAAGTAGGAACTGTTTTTCAGCTTGACACTGCCTGCGTTTAAACTTCATTTATGTGAGACAAAATAAACATGAATCTTGTTTAAGTCACTCGTATTTTGGATATTTGTTCCTAGCAACCAAATACTAGTCCTAAGTGATACAAGGGACATAATGAAAATTTATTGAGAACATTCTCTTTGCCAGGCAAAGTGAATCTGTTCTGAGGATAACAGATGAAAGACATTACTCTTACTTTCAAAGTGCTTAGTCTATAGCAAGTAAACCAATGACTATAATAATGTGTGATGAGTGTTTGTATGTTAGAGGAACACTTAGGAGGAACACTCAATCTCACTTGTGGCATTCTTTTAGTTAAAAAAAAATCTTGTGTTATTTGGTCATGATCCTGATTTAGCTAAAGAATTTTATTATGTTACAGCTGCAAAATACTTGTAGGATTAGATTCTTACTTTTCATTTCTCCTACCCCAGTTTTTTTCATTTTGGTGAATGGCACCCACTCACCCAATTTAGATTTTCATTTCACCTTTGATTATTTGTCTAGCTGTGAAGCAGTTTCATATATCCTATTGGAAGTAGTTGAGGTTTTTGAATCTGTAAATTGATATCTATCAGCAGTTTTGAAAAATTCTTAGCCATTTTCTCTTCAAATGTGGCTTCTGCTTCTTATCTCTTTCCTGTACCCTGAGGCTCAATCAAATGTGTATTAAACCTCTCCCTGTCTGCTCTGTGCTCAATTCTGAATTTTCTATCCTTTTGTCTTTCCCTGCTTAATTAGTGATATTTTCTTCTATTTCACTAATTATCCCTTCAACTACATCAACCATCCATTGAATTCTTCATTTTGTTGTTGTATTTTTCAATTATTGAATTTCTATTTGGTTTCTTTGCCCATTTGTCTTGTCACTTTTTAAGAGTTTCTGAGTCTCTGTTTGAAATTATTAGGATTGAACTTTTCCTCCTTGAATATAGTTGATTTATATTCTGTGACTGAAAATTCCAAGATTTGAAGTATTGATTGGTTTATTTTTATTCGTTTTACATCTGCTAGTCATGTCTTCTCATGTATCTAATTAGGTTTGGTTTTATTCTTGGCTTGATCAAATATTTGTAGAAAAATGTGTAGAGAATATTATATTTCTCTGTAAAGGATTTTTGTCTCAGACAGGTACCTGTGCATTAGTAATTAAAGATTATCCTAATCCAGTTTCCATGCCTGAAATTTTGCTAGGTCACCCAGATGGCTAAAAGCTGGGTGCCATCCGTGCAAGTGCTATTTTGCCTTCAGTTCACCTATCTTTCATGATATATCCCACCAGGGTGCAAGGCCAAGGTAGAGATGGCTCAGCAGAGTTCCCACTCTTGCCAAACTTTGGACTGACTTGTATTTCCTACACTTCTTGAGGATATTAAAAGTACAACTCAACCTCTGGGACTCCTCTCCTGGATGGGCAAATACAGGGCAAAACCCCTCAAATATTTGGCTCATGTCTCTGAATTTTCATCCCTTTTTGGATGTTAGTCTATTGATTTCTCATGTATTTGTTAGCTCTTGGATTACCTTTAAAAGATTTTGAAAAAATAACTCTACCTTCCTTAGTAGTTGTTATGGTCTTAATGTGTGCCCTGCAAAGTCATATGTTGAAACTTTTGATGGTGAAAGTGAAAGTGATGGTATTAGGAGGTGTGGACCTTTAGAATGTGATTGAGTCATGAGAGCAGGGCCCTCCTGGATGGGATTATGGTCCTTATAGAAAGAGCTTCGGGGAATAGGTTTTCTCTTTTCTGCCATATGAGGACAGTGTTCATCCTCTTTTGCCCTTTCTGTCTCTTCTGCCATGTAAGGACACCATCTATAAAGAATGAGCCTTCACCAGATACCAAAGCTGCCAGCACCTTGACCTTGGACTTCCCAACTTACAGAACAGTGAGAAAATAAATTTCTGCTGTTTGTAAATTACCCAGCCTGTGATATTTTATTATAGCAGCACAAACCGACTGAGTCAGTAATTTTCATCAGTGATTTGAATAATCTGCCATTATCAAAACTAGAAGTCCAGTTCTATCAGTATTTCTATAAACCACATCTTGAGTCAATCCACTTCTGTCCACTTCAATACAAACCACTTTGAAAAACACCATTATTTCTACGTAGACCACTGGGATGGTCATTTAATTTAATTTCCCTGTATCCTTGGTTGCTTTCTTCATTCCACAGTTTCTCAATCTTTGCACTATGGATATTTTGGGCAGAATAATTCTTTTTGGGGATGGAGGCAGGAGATCTGTCCTGTGCCTTATAGTATATTTAGCAGCAGCCTTGGCCTCTACCCACTAGATGTGAGTAACACCCTCCCCCTTCCTTCTGTAGTTTTGAGAGCCAAAACCATCTCCTAGGGGGAGACATTGCTAAATGTCTCCTGGGGAACAAAATCACCCTCCAATGAGAACCGCTGTTCTAATCCATCCATTACACAGACAAAAGTAAACTTAAAATATATAAGTTATAAGCCGTCATTATTGAAAGTCCTTTAATGGCTCTAAGAAAATAATTTCAACCCTTTATAAAGCCCTTCAAGGGATTACATAAGAGGGTTTCTGTTTATATTCCTAATTACATCTCTTACCAATTTTCTCTTCAGAGTTTGTTTTGCAGCCACATTGACTTTTCTTTCTCTCAAATCTTTTGACAGCTGTAGGACCTTTGCATATGTGGTCCTTTTGCTTTTGCCCTTCATCTGTCTTCTCATCCTATAGATCTCAGTTTAATTAAATCAGAATGCCTCAAAACCGGCATTCTGTTGAATGAAAGAATGAGTGAATAAAGCAATTTCAGTTCTTAGATTAGATACTACCTTAGAAGAGGTACCTTATTCAAGACCTTCTTAACGAAACAAGCCAAATCAAAATGAAACAAAACCAAAATCAATCAACCTCCATTATCCTCTGTATCATGGCAACCTATGATTTTCTACTAATTTGCTGAGTCCCAGAAGACAGAGGTCCAAATAACACCCACTGACCAGTCATCAGGACTTTTCTGCTATCTTTTTTCCCTAATACTATCCCTCAGATGGTTCCATGAACTTATGGCCAAACTAATTGTTTCTAAGAAAATTAGAAAGAAAACCAAGTTCCTCTTTTTTTTTCTTTTATATTTTCCTCTACCCTTTTTCCATATTTCCACAAACTGCAATTTTAAAGCACACATTGAAATTATACAGGCAATGTTTCTCAATGACAGTTTTATTAAATGTGCTTTAGTTCATTTTTTAAAAATACAAATATTAATTTGACTTCAAATTTATTTATTTTTTCCTTTCTAGGTCTGGAAGGATGTTAACTGATAGAATTTTTATTTAGCCTATTATTTCAAGTTTCAGCATAGTGATGCCTCTGCCTTAAGGTAGAAGTTAGTTTGATTCTTGAAATCTCAGTTGAAAGAATTCTGGTGAACTCTATTCCAATCACCAGACATTCACATTAACTAACTTTCTGATGGAGGAGAAACAGTCTGCAAACGCTGAATATGGAAGGCAGGCAATAATGCCCATTCACAGTATTTTTCCACCACTTCTGCTATAAGTTAAGATTGTAACAGATAGAATATTAATTTCAATAAAAGAGTTTGAAATGATAAGACTGTAGTAGAAAATATTTTGAAACCATATACTGTCTTTTCATATGTATAGTTTATCTTCATTATTTATATCAGACTATGAGAAACAGATGCAAGATGTCCGTAGTTTTCTCTAGGGAGAAATAAGTAATACTAATGAAATACAGATTATGCTTAAACAGATAATCAAGAAATTAAAATTTACGGCATTGAACAACTCTTGGCATGGAAATGATCTACTTGAAGCTTCTGAAGAACACGTGTACCTGAGAAGAAATATTAGATGCACTGTGAAGAGAAAAAGAGTACTTGAATTGTATGCTTCTGAAATGTTAAGATGAGGCCTTAGGAAAATCTTGAAATACAAATGAGTCTAAACCCTATTTTCTCAATCTGCGTAATATACGTGGCATTAATCAGAATGTAACTAGAGGAACATCTGGGAAATTATAATTCATTTATGAAAGAGTAAGTCAAGCTCTACAAAGCAAAGGGCTCGTGACAAACAAATATTGTACCTAATTTTTCAGCATAAGAAACAAAATTAAAACTGACAGGTGAGTAGGATGTGGTGTAATAGGGAAACTGCAAAAAAGGAGCTTCAGCTTCAAGTATTTTCTCCAGTTGTGTGATCTTGGACGAGTCATTTACTTTTATCTTACTTTTATTATTTTATTATTTCAAATGAATAAATTTTATTTTTAGAGAAGTTTTAAGTTCACAACAAAATTAAGCAGGAAGTACAGAGAGTTCCTATTAATATATACTCTCTGCCCTTGGACATGCACAGACACCACCCCCCTCGCAGCTGTTATCAACGTCCCCACTAGAGTGGTATATTTACTATAACTGATGAACCTACACTGACACTTCATAATCACCTGAAGCCCATAGCTTATATTAGGGTTAATTCTTGATGTTGTACATTCTATAGGTTTTGACAAATGTATAGTGACATATCTTCGTCACTGTAGTATACAGATATACAGAATAGTTTCTTAATCACTGTAGTATACAGAATAGTTTCATGGCCACCAAACTTCTCTGCATTCTATGTATCCACCCATCCTTCCTTGCTCTGAAGTCTGCTCTGCATAAAATTAATATGAAATTAATATATAGCTACCCCGCCTTTCTTTTAATTAGCATTATCATGCTACATATTTGTCGATCCATTCACTTTTAATCAACATATGTCTTTATATTTAAAGTAGGTTTCTTGTCAACAACATATAATTGGGTCTTCTTTTTTAGTCCACTCTTACAATCTCTGTTTTTAATTGGTATATTCAGATTGTTGACTTTTAAAGTGATTATTGATAGAGTTAGGTTAATATTTACCATATTTGTTTCTGGTTTCTACTTGTTGCCATTGCTTTTTGTTTCTATTTTTGCCTTCCATACTTTTACTCCCTTTTATGGTTTTAATTGTTTTTTATGATTTCATTTTCTATCTTTCCTTAGCATGTTAGTTATACTTCTTTTTTTTTCAGTGGTTGCCCTAGAATTTGCAATATATATTTACAATTAATCCAAATTCACTTTCAAATACTGCTTCACGGATGGTGCAAGTATCTTAGAATGACAAAACATTCCTAATTGCTCCCTCCCATCCCTTATACCATTGCTTTCATTCATTTCACTTATACATAAACACACACACACACACACAGAGGCACACATAATTCTAATTCTATACATTGTTGATATTATTATTTTGAACAAACTGTTAATTGTTACATCAATTAATAATTTTTTTAAAAAGTTTTTATTTTACCTTCACTTAATCAGTCTCCAGTGTTTGTTCCTCATTTAAGTAGATCTGATTTTCTGACCTGTGTCACTTATCTGATGAATTTTTAACATTTTTTGCAAGGTGTGTCTACCGGCAACAAATTTGCCTGAGAAAATCTTTTTTTTTTTTTTTTTTGAGACGGAGTCTCACTCTGTCACCCAGGCTGGAGTGCAGTGGCGCCATCTCGGCTCACTGCAAGCTCCACCTCCCGGGTTCATGCCTTTCTCCCCCGCTCAGCCTCCCGAGTAGCAGGTGGCTCACGCCTGTAATCCCAGCACTTTGGGAGGCCGAGGCGGGCGGATCCCGAGGTCAGGAGATCAAGACCATCCTGGCTAACACGGTGAAACCCCGTCTCTACGAAAAATACAAAAACAAGATTAACTGAGAAAATCTTTATGAGTTTTTTCTTTCAGTTTAAATATTTTACACCACTTTCTTGCTTGCATGGTTTCTAAGAAGGTTATAATCCTTATGTTTGAGCCTCTATATGTAAAGTGTTTTTTTCCTCTGACTTCTTTCAAGATTGTTTCTTTATATTTATTTACTGAACTCTGTACATGACATGCAGAAATTTACTTTTTTTTTCTTTTGCATTTGTCCAGCTTGGTGTTGTTTGAGTTTCCGAAACTGTGGTTTGCTGTCTGAAATTAATTTGGGGGAAATTCTCAGTCATTATTCCTTCAAATATTGCTTCTCATCCTTTCTCTCTTTCTTCTCCTTCTGGTATTCCCATTGTGCATAATTACATCTTTTGTAGTATTCTCACAGTTCTTAGCTATTCCGTCTGTTTTTTGTTTTTTTGTTGTTGTTTTGTTTTGTTTTTGCCAGTTTTCAGTCTTTTTTCTCTTTGTTTTTCAGTTTTGGAAGTTGCTATTGTTATATCCTCACATGCAGAAATTTTTTTTCCTCAGCCATGTCCAATCGGCTAATGAGCCCATCAAAGGCATTCTTCATTTCTGTTATGGTGTTTGATCTCTAGCATTTCTTTATTATTCTTTTTAAATTTTTCATCTCTCTGTTGACATTATCCATCTGTTTTTGCTTGTTGTCTACTATTTGTGAGGGGGACAGAAACAGTGTTCTACGGTCCTGTGATCAGGTCCCAATCTTTGGGTGAGCCAAGGGCCCTAGACTGTGAACTTCACCAGTGCTTCTGGGTTTTTTTTTTTTTTTTTTATCCTCCCTTAGGTGGGACAGGATGGCTACAGTAGGCTGGAGTTGGGTGTTTCCTTTCCATAAGGTTAAAAACCCAGCAGGTTAAGCTCTGGTGAAATATTCCCATGAGGGCATTTTTCCTTAATATTCACTTTAAGGACCTGTTAGAGCTTCTGGGTATAATTCACAAGATTATTAAGGCCCTCCCAGGTCTGTGACCCCTGGAGTTTTATCCCTCAGGCTTGTTCACACTGAACCTCTGGCAGTTCATCAATTAGCTTAGATTTTTCTTCCCAGGTATTTGTCCCTGCAAAGGTTTCTGCTTGTGGGTTTCTGCTCTAACACATTGAGATTCTCTGTATATGAATGTCTAATGTCTATCTCCATAGTTTTGGAGGCAGAGGTTTGCCCTGTGAGCTCACTTCTCTCACAGATCTAATAAGAGTTGTTGATTTTTCAGCTTGTTTAGTTTTTAACTTGTTATTAGGATGGAGTGAAGAGTTCTAAGTTCCTTACATGTTGGGCCAGAAACTGGAAGTCAGATCATTTACGTTTTAAAGGCTCAGTTTCATTGGGTGTAAATGAATGAGTCTGTGCCCTCAATGATAATTAACTTTTGTTAAAGGAAAGGGCCATTCAGAAAAAAATCATGTTATAAAGACCTATTTGTTTTTCATTCCAAATGAAAATTGCTTTACCGCATCTCCTGGAAACTGTGTACATTTATCATTTAGATTACCTATTTTGTTGAACAGAGTACTTCAATGAGAATATTAGCACTGTTTTTTGCTACACTTTTAATAACTGAATAAAGAAAAGATCAGAAAATATGGAGGCACTTTTCCAATCATTCATGCTGAAATTAGATCTTAGGTCCTGTGGAGAATTTGGATAGGACTTGTTCTCTGAGAACAATAGATGCTCATCAAATGACTATGTTCATTCCAGGTTAAAAATTACATAAATGCTAAAATCTTATGTAATCCTACCACCCATTATAAGGTATTTAAAGCGCCAGGAGATAAGATTTTGGTGCTATTTTAGGGACTAGGAAAATTATATATGTTGGAGTTAGAGATAGCTCTATAGTAAGATACAACCAGAGTTTTCAGAAAATTTAGAGAACTGGGATGATAGTTCAGCTTTGTTTAACACTTTAATCGGTTTCTGAAAAAATAAGAATTTGCCTATGGACAAAAAAACTAAAATGAGACGTGAATAGAGAAAGCCCCGAAGATACCATGTAAACTTCAGAGCTCATCTGGTGTTCATTAGACGTTTCAGAATATTTCAGAACTGCAAAGGAACCTTGCTTTGTCAGGATGAGTGGGCGAGATGAAGGCATGAATGGCTCCTGGGATTTTCAAGAAGCGGGGTTCATTCATTCTAAGTGTTGACTGGAGCAAAGGGACAAGGAAGAAAATGATGATCACACAGAAGTAGAACAACCAAAAGGATTTCCTGAAGATCGTGGGTCAAGAGAATAAAGTAGATATGAGTGTTTAGGGATTTAAATTGAAATCAGTTGTTGAAAAATTTGCTTTTCACACATTGCTTATCTGGACCCAGGGTTGCAGAGGTAAAATGTTGGCCTGCTAATCTGATCAGGCCCCAAAGACAAGGAAATAAGCACCTAATTATGCAGGGGAAAACAGAGATGGAGATGATGCGGACATCCAAGTGATAGGGCTGTTGAGTCTTTGACAACAGAAATCCTTTATGTTCCCCAACACTTGGGGAGTGAATATTCTTCTCCCTAAGGAACTACCTGACTTTTGCTCATTATTTATTTCCGTAGGTTATATTATGCCCTTCATGATTTTAATTTCTCTATGAAGCATCAGTTCCTGAAGGAAAACACACAACCCCAAGCAGAAGAAGAGTTTCTTCTTTATATCCCAAAATACCCTGTGCAAATCTCTACCGTGGCTCTTGAAACTACATATAGCAGTGGGCTCAACTTTTTCGTTTTTGAGCATAGAATTCTCAGCAGAACATTTGAAGGCATTAACTCATATTTATCGATGTCACTTTGTTCACTGGGTAGACCTTTAGCCTTGTGTTTCTGTTTGAGAGGGGACACTTCACACCCTGATTTATACATTCAGGAGGCATACATCTGAAGCTTTTCAATAAATGCACACTTTCTCAACAGCTCTGCCTCAACGTTGCTTCTTTTACTCCCTATGGTTTTTATCCTGCAATACACCACATTGCATGAACTATTCTACTTATTTGTTCTCATAGTTTGTATCCTAGTTTGTAATAAATAAAGTTTTCAATGTGACTAAATTTTGCCACATGCCTGTGGAAGATGCACAGTACATCAGAGTGTCACTTTGCTGTGGTTGGGAACCAGTGTTCTATCAAAATTGTTGAGTTTTTTTTTTCCTATGGACTATGGTTAAATGAATAAAAGATTGAACTTGGTATAAGATACTGTAAATATTAAAGTCTATATATTTCAAATGGAGGAATTTAAGAGACTTTTTAAAAATATGCAATGCCCTGAAATTTTAGTATTTAGTTTTTAAAATCTCACAATTCTTGATTTATGCCACCACTAATTTTGGGAACTTTCACATAAAGATTTTGCAGACATGCTTGCTCTTTCTTCCTTCATTATGTTCTCCACTTTGTCTTTTGTTTGGCACAAACTCTCTCTGCTCTTCCCTAAAATTTCAGTATAACTCAGAAGGTTACATAAACTTCAGCATGAGAAACTTCAAAATATTAAACCTCTTTTTTTTTTTTTTAAAGCTGAGGAACGTATTTTATGGGGTCTGCCCAAGAGAGTTCATTATTGCAAAGTCAGTTGTGGCACCTAAATAATTAACCTATAACCAATATATGTGTGAAATTATTGCCTTAAGCTCGCCTTGGTGACTGTTTGCCATTAAATTAGTGGGATAAATAATTTACACCAAAATGTGGACCTGAGATAACACCATTAAATTGATAGGACTTGTTCATTAATTGTAAGGAATTAGATTAGATGAAACACAATTCCCCAAGTGTGAGCTATCCTGTGGTGTAAACGGTGTGTTAGTTCTATAGTTGCATAGAGGAATAGATGAAGACCCTGGAATTGCTCAGCTGATGCAATATCGAATTGAGTAGGGCATTTGTAAAACATTGTACTAAATATACATAGAAGGGGGAGTGTCTGTGAAGCTTTGAAATGACTAGAAGCAAGAGAAAGCACAACATTTCTTGGCTAAAAACAAAAAGAAATAGGACTATCCATTTTTGTTTTCAGTTAATGGTAATTGTTTTTGAACTCTGCTGGTCTAAAATCACCAGAGGTAATACTCCCCAAGAAAATCTGATTCTGTAGGTCAAGGGTAGGACCTAAGAATATTCTTAAACAAGCACTGCAAGTGATTCTGATGCAAGTGGTATGGACCAAATTTCAAGTAACACTATTCAGGGTGATTTGATAGGTTTAATCACCCTGTGGGCAAAGTCCCTGTCTTGTACAGCTCCAGTGTTAAGCTTGGTGCCTTTAATCCATAAATATTATTTCTCCAAAGAGTACTTTGTGCCTAGCTCTGTTGCAAAGAGTGGTCAATAAGGCAGATGAAGCTTTGACTGCTCAGATAGAGGGAGAGGTTTTTTAACACCTCATATTTCGCTTTTCTTGGCACATTCTCTCAATGTAGCTCCTTTCCAATAATTTTAAGGCAATATATTGACATGCTTGTGGGGGCTATGATAAAAATCTGTCAAAAGAAACAAATGAAACCAAGAGTTAGACTGTTTAATACACAATGGAAGCATCAGTGCTCACATGACGAGACAGGTAAGAAAGTGTTGTGTTGCCTTCTTTATGTTTTGCTTCCTCACAAGCCAACAGGGTTGACCTCATTACCTGGCTTATCCTCTCCCTGAAAATATTCTCCTGTTGTTAGAACCAGGCTGCACCCCAGCCTAGTGAAGAAAACAGCATCCAACAGATAGTTTTCAGTCTGATGAGTGTTACATAAAATATGCTAAAGGAGAATACAACGTGTTGCTATCTTAGGCTAGGATAGTCCAGGGAAACATTTCTGAGGAATTGCTGTTTAAGCTGAGAATTGAAACGTCAATGGAATTTACCTAAGCCAAGAATATGAGGGGAGGGATAGATGGGGGGGATTTCAATGGAAAGCAAACCGAATGTATGGTGAGATGACTTAGGAAGGAAGCCTCCTTTGTAAAAACAGCCAAAAAACCAGTAAGGTTGGATCTCTAGAGAGTGTTGGGAGGCAGGCTAAAAAGATTCACAAGGGCTAGACTAGGGAGAACTTTGCAAATCACTGAAGTTTTAAGCAGGATGACTAGGCACTTAGTGAATATTGCAATTGGGTAGATTTCTGAACTGTATCAAGATGCAAATAATCTCAAAGTTCACAGATTTCCTTGAAATCTGATTCTGACAGAACTTACTAATTTTCTATCCCCACTCTTACATGCTCAGAGAACTCCAGTTTATTTGAGACCAGCAACATACCTAGCCCAGGGGATTAATCAGAATAGATCTAACACAATCACATCTATTTTATTTGTTTGCCAGCTACTTATTGCCCCAGGCTCCCTTGTGTCTAGGAGTCACACATATGTAGACGATAACTGGCCAATCTGACATGTAGGAAAGTGTACTCAGGGACTCGTATTAGCTTATCACTGCTGCTATAACAAATTGCAGCAAATTTAGAGGCTTAAAACACACACTTGTTCTCTTATAGCTCTGGAAGCCAGAAGTCTGAAATCAGTCTCCTTGGGCTGAAGTGGAGGTGTCAGCAGGGGTCTTCCTTCTTGAGACTCCAGAAAGAGTCAGTTTCCTCACCTCTTCTAGTTTCTGGAGGCCACCTGAATTCTTGGCTCATGAGTTCTTTCTCATATCACTCCAACCTCCTGCTTCTACTTATCTCTCCTACTTCTCTTCTTTTGTGTCAAAGCTCTGGTTGTCTCCCTCTTATCAGGACACTTGTGATTATATTTAGGATCCACTGAGTTATCCAGAATAATCTCCCCATTTCAATTTAATCACATCTGCAAAGTCCTTTTGCCATATAAGGTTTCATTCACAGGTTCTGGGTACTCAAACAAGGATATGGTGGCCAGTATTTAGTCTACCACAATGCCTCTGGGTAAATTTTTATTTCCTGATAACCAGAGATCACTCTTTCCAGTCTCTCCCCTTTCTTCTGTCTAGGAATTTTTTTGGGGGAGATAACTTGATGCCTGGAGCTGCTGCTGCATCTTATGTAAATGACAACTAAGGATAAAAACCACACACAGTAAGTAAAGAAAGAGCTCAGAACCCAAGTAATTGGTAACAATGTTGAGCTGCTGTAAAGAATCATAAGGAACATGCCTCCAAATTTTCTGTTAGGTATGATCATTGATTGTCTTTCCTTTTAATGCCACAGTTCATTGGTATTATGACCTGTAGCTGAATACAGTAGTCCCCACTCACCCACTGTTTCTCTTTCCTTGGTTTCAGTTACCCAAGGTGCAGTAAAAGAAGATATTTTGGGAGGAAGAGAGAAAGCAAGAGAGAGAAACCACATTTTCATAACTTTTGTTACAGTATATTGTTATAATTGGTCTATTTTTATTATTATTGTTGTTCATATTTTACTTTAATTTATAAATTAAACTTCATTATAGGTATGTACAGGAAAAAATATGGTATTATATATGATTTGGTACTATCCTTGGTTTCAGGCATCCACTGAGGGTCTTGGAACATATCACCTTGGATAGGGGAGACTACTGACTTCCTTACTGCTCTATGTGACAAATGAAGTTTGGTCTTATTTGCAGCCAGGAAAATTTTATTATCAAGACTTTAATATTAATACAGAAATAGGAACTTCCAGGGATAGACAAAAATGAAGAGAGCATCTGTTCCAGCTTCTTTATTTTAAAGATTTGAGGCTCAGAGAGGAGATATACTTCTTCAAAATCAACAGCCTATTAGTTCACAACTGCGATTACAATTTCGTCTCCTGGCTCTGGGTTTAATAATATTCCCCCACATCATAAAACCTTGGAACTATCGAAATGATAGCTTTGAGGGGAAAAATAGGCAAAGAAGTAATATGTTAAACTTTCCCTGGGATGCAGGCTTTAATCAGGTTTCAAATTCTTCCAACATAATATAATTTAATGGTGAGAGCTCTTGACATTAAGAGGTGAAATTTATATTTAAAAGGCTAAGATCGTGACATATTAAAGCACTTCAAAAATGTTGGCAACAAATACCAAGAGTAACTGATGGTTGTTATTATACAAGAACAAAGAAGTTCATCCTCTGGAATTAAAGGTGTGTTAGTGTCATTGTTGCTCATGGGGAGGAGTAGGCACCTGACTTTCTTTTTTTCCTTACGACAGCTTTATCCAAATAAAGCACGGTGTGTTTCATCACCCATAATGGAAAGTGCCTGTCACTCCTTGAACAACATCATATGGTTGGTGGCCGGTGGATAATGGACCACTGAGTGTCAAGGTGACTGGCTTTCAATGCACACAAAACTAAAAATTATAGACCTGTCATTCCACAGGCAGGCCACAATTAGCTGTCTATGCAACTTGAAATTTCCATTTTGCCAGCTGAGTAATCATTTGACTAGAGTTTTTCATTTGGAAGCATTTCTAAGCCTTTTGTGTGCAAGTCTTTTAAAATGTGGATCCTGAAGTAAATAAACAGTGCACTTAATCAGATGTATTCTTTTTAGAAACACCCCTTCGGAAACACACAGGCAAACCCCAACATTGTTGTAATAGTAACAACAATAATGTGACAAAACAATATAAGCCTTGGGTATTTTATTTAGGGATCTTAAAAGTTCACAGCGAAAGGTAAGAATCATTTCTTAATACCTCAGAGTGCAGAATTTAGAAAAAGAAACTGAGATTTTAGCAGTCAGTAACTAGATAAGGTCACCAAAGGAGAAGTAAACTCAGAGCTAGGGGTCAAAACTTGGGAATTTCAGTGTCAGAAACATTCACTGATTCAAAACTATCCATTTACCAGTTTTCTATTTACATTTGGTTTCCAACTCCATATCTGAGTTCTGTCATTTCTCTGATTCTTTGAGGGATAGAGAAAATGATACCAAGTGGAGTCTGTTGGAAAATTGTGTTGTAATTTCCATTCAGTTGCTGTACGTGAAGTAAACTTCAGGATTCTACAATCCCAGATCAGATTCTAGACTGTCTAATTGAACCTGAATCTTCTTTTACCCTCTTCCTGCCCTGTCCCTGGTCCACATTACTCTCTCTCCTTCTCCCTCGGATGATTTATATCTACACTTAAATTGCCGAGCCACAAGGATACAAGTGAAGTTGACAATCAATATGAATTAAGGAAAAAATCAGAAGTCTGAGATCAGAAGTGTTTGAGTGAAATTCTCCCTACAAGTCTTGGCAACCTCATGATTTTGTTTAATTTTCCAACATGTTTTGGATTATTGGAAAGAGTTACATGGGATAAAAAGGATTTGCCTGGCAGAGTAAAAGAACTGAATTTGGATTGTACTGAAGTAGGTCCTAACTAGGCTGTTGATGGTGAAATATTGACGATTCTATTGTTTTGAATGAATGAGTGTCATATTTTACTGGGAATTGATTTCTGAACTTCAGTCAAGGAGTGACTGAATTTGCAATTAGAGTCACTCTGTTTTGTAACTCAGATTATGCAAGGATCATTCTGAAACAGCAACCAAGATATAAGCCCTTGTTGCATGGCTTTTCTTTAATTTCTAATTTTGTGTGTCTGTGTTCAGTTTTTAAAGGACCAAAAAGTTTTTTTTCCCCCATCTCTCTAGAAAAAAAAGGAACATACCCTAGGATTACAAGGGGCTTGATTATCTGTTTTATAAGAATCTTAACCCAGGAATTGGTTAATATTCTTTCTCCCATTTAGAAAAATAGTAGGCTTTGTCGTTGATTCCTAATGATTAGCACAAAAAGGGAAAGGCTTTTTAAAACCAAGATAAAATCACTTTAATTCCAAAAGTGTCCATTTAAGAAATATAAACTGTGAAGATAAGCAATGGCTATTTTCTCTAAAGGAAAGTATTTTCAAATGAACAGAACAGGCAAATGTAGACTTAATTAGGTGGAGTCAGATGGGTATTAATTATTCACCTTTCCAGGGTGAGAATAATAGCATTGTTGCTAAAGAAATGAAATAAGGCATGACACTTCTTTCTTCTTCATTCTGTGAAAGCTGCTCTGATCTGAACAGGTTAAAGATGGGATAACAGGAGGACAGACTGAAAATTTGCTCTTCCCTTCACAATTGAGGGTAGATAGTCTTTCGAGAGTGTAGTATCCTCCATTGAAATAAAATGTTATTGACTACCTGCTTGGAGACATAAAAACCTTCTCATGTTTGGAATGTACATGTACTTCTCTGTTTTGCTCTCTTGAACATTTTCAAAATAGCTAAATAAAATTTGTCCTCATTCTTAGAGTTCTGTATATTCTAGACTTGAAAATAGTGGCCAACAGTGAGTAGTAATTCACACTGATGATAATCACACCAGACTAGGTTTGTTTAATTTTGTTATAGCCTCTAAAAAGCATTTGTTAAGCATCTGCTCTGTTACACAGGTAAGATCTCATGATGGATGTGGAGTCTACAAATGAAAAATACTTAAACGCACTGCAGTAAAAGATCAACACTTACTCTAATATAATTTGTTAGTACCGAGTGTCAAAAAGTGGGGTTTGAAAAAACCTAAGGGTAAGATTTAGCAGGTGTGGGGTCTAGTCCTGACACTGATGGTGACTACTTGTTGCCTACCTCAATTCTGGTCATAAGAGCTATGAGTGTGAATGTGTATGTTAAGTAGTGTGAGGTTGTGTGACTGGAAGGGGCTGGAGGAAATAGAGGCAGAGAAACTCAGCAACCCTGAGTTGCAGAGAAGCTTTTTTAGTGTCCCTGAGAAGTGAAATGACTCTGTTATTATGTCTGCATGCTAATTATACCTCTACTCTACATACTTTTAACTTTAGGTAACCTCATGTTAACTGCCTTTTTAAGCTGAGGAAACCAATACCCATGGAGATAAAATGACTTGACCCAAATCGGACAGCTTGTCAATAGCAAAGCTGGAACCAGACTGTAAAGCTTCTGCTTTCTTGTGTAAGATACATTTTTCCCCTAGATGACTTCTTAAACCAAGGGGCTCTGAAAATAAACAATCTTTTCAAAGTAGCACTGTATCCCTGTAGGTTGTTGCAAATAGTTCTTCAAAACTTGAAATAATTATATCATCTTAAAAAGTCCCTTATAAATTCCAATTCAGTATAAAAATATGATTTAGGTATATGTTAATTAAACTATCTTTTAAACTCCATAACCATAAAGGAAAATAATTGTAGATATACAAAAAAGAAATCTATTCTTTATTTAAATACATGTTCCTTCTGGGAGAGGTGTTTAAACAATAGAATCAAAAACACTGAATCAACTTCTGCAAGGGCTGTTTAGGTAAAAATCCTTGGTGAAGCTGAAAACTGCTCAAAGAAATGTATATCTGTAGAGATGTGGCAGAAGTTTGTCTTAAACTTGAATCAGCCGATACTATTTTGAAAAATAATATTCCATTTAGCAAAGCCTGACAGTCATATAACAAAGTATGTCTTCTTTTGAAAGGTGTTAAATTAGACCACAATTTTCTTTAAAAATTTGTGAGAAACATACTGTGAATCACAATTGGTAAACATTCTATTTCTCTAAATATAACTGAATTTTAGGCTCTAAATTAAGAGAAATTACAATACTCCTCTGTAAACACTTTTTTTGTATTAGATTCCACATTTGTAAAGAAGTAGGTGAGTCAGAAACAAAATAAATGCTATGGAGAAGATTATTTTATTTATAGATGAATGTAATGAATAAATTAAGCTCCAAATTAGTACAGAACTAATGACGCATTCTACATGTCTTCCAGATCTCAGTTTATTACCATTTTGTAACAGACTTTCTGCATATTCTAACTCACTGATGCCATGATGTTGTTTTTGTGGGGAAAAGAACCTTTTTTAACAGAATAGAGGTTAACCAAGTTTTATGTCTTAAACTTTTTTTTTTGCAGATCACCAGAATTATGCATTACTATAAGTAATCTTAAAATTGTATGTACATAAAGATTGGCCATTTAATGAGTGTATTATTCTTTGTTAATATTACAGGTAGGCTCATATTCCACACTAAAATGGTCATAAGTAATATAGTGACTGCTAAGTCAGGTTGATTTTAAAAGCAGAGTTTTGTGGTGCATCTTAAATACCAGCATTCTCAGTGCTATAGTTAAAAAAAAAAAAAAGTCATGCACGTAGTTTATACCCCCACCCCTTGCCCCCCAAATTCATCTGGATAAGTTTTGTGGGGCTTTTTCTTTTCATGAAAATTATTCTGTCACGTCATGTGCGTGTATCTGTCACTTTATCTGAATTGCATGTGAATTATACCTTGAATAGATTCCCCAAACTGGAGAAGCGAAAATGTTCCCCTTCTGAATATTTTAGACTTGTATGAGTTCTCTAATATTTTGTTTTTGTGCAAGGCCGCTTGTAAGGCGGCCTGGAGCCTTGAATGCTGACAGCCTCCATTAGCATTAATGCTGTTCTCTTATCTCCCGTTGCTCTCCTCCGCTCCCCCCTCGCTCTTTCTTGTCTGATGGTTCACTGACACCGTTGACAAGGCTGACACCACCAATCAGCTTCGACTCAGCAAGGTCACTGTTCAGACTTGACTCGTGATTGGCTGCTGCGCTTCAGCGTGTTATTACTGTCTGATTTGATCGGAGGCAGGGGGTGGTCTCCAATCAAACAGAGAAAAGGTCCTAGAGAAGGTAATTAAATCCTGTCAGAGGCAATTATCGGTTCCAGGGCCATGACTCTGGCCCTGAATGCAGATGATCTGAAACTGTATTCTTGTAGAAATTCAAGAGGGCTCCTGGCATGGTTCAGTTAGGCATAAAAGAAGCAGCAGGCTTTCTGCAAACAATGCAGCCCTGTATTTTGAACCTTTCTGCCTCTTTTTCCCTTTACCCGAAGACTTCTGTTTTCACTGATCAAAAATATTCCTTTTCAGGCCACATTCTAATTAATTTAATAGACAAGGTTTTTCTTTCTTGTACATAAATAATGACAAGTTTTACCCAAGAACTTCTGCCCCCAAACACGGGCTGTGACAAACAGCCTTTATCAAAGCAAACCAAAGCATTTAATGGAAGGACACCAATCTGTAGTTTAGACCAACGGAGAAAGAAATTTTAAAGACTCTAACATGGATGTTCTTCCTGTGGTGGCTTTTGCCCTGTCTGTTTATACATTGCCGTGCACATGATAGAGTTTGCTGCTGTGACAAATCTTGAAGTTCTACAAGGTAATCTAGTGATGACAGCATGCATTTAATGGCTACAGGTTTTTTTTTTTTATTAACAGAGAAAATCTGCAGCAGATTTCAGTATGTGGGGTAAGTGCCTCCCCAAAATATTTAGTAGAGTTAACATTTTAAAACTGAGGCCTGAAAAATAAAAACAGCAAGAAAGAAGTGCTGTAGTTTTAATTGGGAAGAGAAAACAAAGACAAATGCCATAGGTGTACTTTTGCTTTTAAATAAATAGAAGACTTCAGTTTTGTGTCCTGTGTGATTTCTCAATTGCTATTAAATAAGCTTTGGGATGTTGCTTTGCCCAAGAACCCAAGACTGTAAAGTAAACCTCTCTTCATATTCTGAATAACAGTCATTTTTCTCCATAGTATTAATCAGTTTAGCATGAAAAATAGTTGATCCAGTATGAAGGTGTATCATAGTTTCTATATCCTCACACTACTGGCTTTAACAGACTTTATAAAATATTGCACTCAATAAATGCCAACCTTACAAATGGACAGCCTTGATTTCAACCTTTATGTTTTGTGAGCATGAGTATTATTTTTGCAAGAATAAGATGTTCAAAACACCATTAAAACAATTTCTGTATTGTCGCTGATGAAACAGTTTAACCACTAGGGTTTCTCCCCGGGGAACAGTTAACTTTCCTCTAATCTTGGTTGTTTTCTTTGTTCTAAAACACCATATTCTTTAATATGCCTGCCTTTATTTGTTTTGTTGAAACATAAACAGATGCTCTAAGCGAAACATCATTTTAAAAAAGTAGTCCCTGCTACTAGTCCATTAATCAGAATGAGGTACCAGACTGGGAAAGAAATTGGTGGGAGAAGATGTTAATAATAATGAAAAATGCTTTGGACACTGGTTGGCTGGATTAAAAAAATCACAAGTCCAAATCTTTACACATGACTCTGAAAATGATGTTTAATTCATTCCATATTGTGTTTTTGGAACATCAAAGGCTTCATCAACTTCCTTAATAAAGATAAAATAGATATGTAGAAAGAAGCAAAATACTCATGAATCTGGCAGCATATTTTAGATCATTAGAACCAAGGTTCATTGCTAGTACCAAAATATTTCTCTTTCTTCCATCTGAGTGACAACTCTATCTGTATCATTTTTGAGCTAGGGTATTTATTTTTATTTGACCCGTCATTGTATATTATTGTGTGGTTAAGTTATTTTATTTTGTTTTGTTTTGTTTTGAATTGAAGTGCTGGCTGTTTTAACGAAGACATTTCTTCAGAAAGAAATCTTTATTTGTGAAAAAAAGGAACCGTCCTTGTAAGAAAACAAACAAACAAAAATTGATATGTTTTCCCCTGATATTTAAGATCAGTGCTTCTAAAAGAGAAAAAACAAAAAGAAAAAGAAGAAAAAACGCTGAATGATCTGAAACTATATTCTGGTGGTAATTCAGGAGGGCTCCTGGCATGGTTCACTTAGACATAAAACTATACCTAGCTTACTGAAGAGTCCTCTGTATTCCAGTCAACATCATTTTATTTGCCCTGGTTGCATCTTTCAAGAGTCTTCACTGTATTGAGAGCTACTTAAGGGTAGAAATGGTATACTATTCCATCGGGTATACCCAGGAAACCAATAAGTAGAAGACTGCATCAATTCCACAGACCTTTATGGGCACCCATGTAAGCCCCATGACATAGACCTACCCCCAAGTTGGAATCCTGGAAATCAGCAGTAACTACATTGCAACTTGATTCAATCAGAGAGGGATTAACTAAAATATCTTATAAAGGAGTGGACCCTGGTGTGGCTGCTATTACCCGTGTCAAAGTCTAATTTGCTCTCTAAATAAATATAGGAGCTTCTTTATGCTATTACTTAATTCTGTGAGCATTCAAGTCCTAAGTATCAGAACTGCCTTAATGCAAAATATCTGAGGTCATTTGAATTATGAAGGTGGGCTGTCTAAATGATGTGTCTTTAAATGGTTTGTAAACAGAACTCTCCAGGGGACATTATGTTCATTCAGTATTAAAATGTATTTTAAAATTTACAG
The DNA here is from genome assembly GCF_000001405.40 of Homo sapiens. Lineage (NCBI taxonomy): Eukaryota > Metazoa > Chordata > Mammalia > Primates > Hominidae > Homo > Homo sapiens. The sequence goes on from NC_000011.10 coordinate 30,638,292, forward strand.
TGTTTATGCAAAACATAGAAAACAATTCACATTTATCTCCTTATGTTCAGTTGCTTTGGTCAGCATTATTGAAATGGGAAGAGAGGATTTGCCTTTTAATTGGTCTTTTCCAGATTTCTGGTGAGACTCCTAGCACCACCAACTGCAGGAATACACATCCCAAACAAAGCCCACTGGGGTACATTCTCAGGATGGTGCATATGGGAACAATAATTTATGAACAGTAATAGGAGCTGGGTATGCAATTCCCTCCCCAACACCAGGATAAGTGTACCCCACTGATTACTGAGTGCACTGAAAATACTTGAGTAAATAAGATAAAAGCCATCTGCACATCTCTTTATTTGTAAGTTAGAATTCCTCGAAAGCAATTGAAAAAAAAGACATCAAAATCACTATTAAGCAATAGGTACTAAGAAATATATATATACACACACATATTTTAAAGAAATGTGAAAAATTAGCTGGGCCTTGCTACATGGGGAATAAAAAAATTAACTTTCACCGTTCTGTGATGTTGCTGTGAATTCTATGTATTTCAGGCTTCATATTCGCCCCTCGAGGGATCTGAAAACTTATCAGGTTTTATTAATTTATTGGCTCTGCACTGAGGTGTACTCTAAACCAATTTTAAGTACTTCATTTTGGTATTTATTCACTACTCACTAAAAGAAGCAGCCTTTCCTATAAACCCCGAGGGTTTCCATAATCAGTTGTATTATGGTTTCCTCAACCTGAGGATATGAAATCTAAATACATTTAAATATTTCATTTGATATTTCTTAATGGGTGTCACCTTCCTTCTTGATTTGCAAAATTAGGAACACATTCTTTCAGCAGCAACATCAGAATTGCAGACTTGAGGGTGTGATTCAAGAAGATTCTCTTCTCCCTATTTATTGGAGATGGCAATTATACCCTCCTTCCAGAGACAAAAACTGGGAATGTGATTGGTGGGATAGATAAGCTAACTTCATAACAAATTTGAAGTTGAACTCTAGGGTCAGAGAATGGTGCACTGGACTGAAAGTAGGAGAACTCGGTTCCAGATCTGGTTCTGCCCTAATTAGCCGCCTGTTATGTTAGCTGTGATTAGTACTACTCGGCATCTGCTTCGTTTCCTTTCCTTACTCCAAGGTTGCCACATAAAATACATGATGCTCAGTGAAGTCTGAATGTCAGACAAAGAACAATATTTTAGTAAACATATGTCCCAAGTATTGCAGGGCATATACTTACACTAAAAAGTTATTTTATGTTTATGAAAGATTCAAATTTTCCTAGATACCTTGTATTTTCTTTGCTAAATCTGGCAGCTCTGCCCACTCTACCTGCAGAGATATTCTAATCCTAGTGCAGGCCAATCCAGAAGTTCTCCAAATATGGGGGCGATGTCAGTGTCAGTGCAAAAACTGCCCCTTGATCAAATTTCTACTAAAACTTGGAGGTTAATTTCTTGCCTGTTATCTTTATCATCTTCAGATATCCCTGCAAATATTCTCTTTTATACTCTAATATCCAGACTCGTCTATTCATCTGCTGCTCCCCAGTTAATCGTTTCTTTTTGTTTCCTTCTCCCAATTCCTTACACAATGTTTCCAGGGGTTCATAGTCCTGTTATTCATGAAGTCCTCTTTATCTCGATGTTGGAGTCTCCTCCTTTTGTCAGAGGCCTTTGAACCAGAGCAATTCCATCTTGAGTAGGGACTGGGTAAAATAAGGCTGAGACCTACTGGGCTGCATTCCCAGAGTGTTAGGCATTCTCAGCTGGGATAAAATAGAAGGTCAGCACAAGATACAGGTCATAAAGACCTTGCTGATAAACCAGGTTACAGTAAAGAAGCTGGCCAAAACCCACCAAAACCAGGATGGTGATGAGAGTGACCTCTGGTCATCCTCGCTGCTACACTCCCACCAGTGCCATGACAGTTTACAAATGCCATGGCAGCATCAGGAAGTTATCCCATATGGTCAAAAAAGGGGAGGCATGAATAATCCACCCCTTGTCTAGCATATCACCAAGAAAAAAATGGGCAGCCCGCAACCCTTGGGGCTGCTATGCCTGTGGAGTAGCCATTCTTTTATTCCTTTACTGTCTTAAGAAACGTACTTTCACTTTACTCTATGGAGTTGGCTCAAATTCTTTCTTGCACGAGATCTAAGAACCCTCTCTCAGGGTCTGGATCGGGGACCCCTTTCCGGTAACATCTTTTTGGTAACCATGAAGGGACAATACTAAGGAAACCCCTGACCGAAAGGCTAATTTTGGGTAAGTGGTGGGGTCTGATAATATCTTTCTGGTGACCATGGAAGGGAGAATACTGATGAGACCCATGACCTAAAGGAACATCATCTGCACACATCAATTGGCTGATTTTGGGTAAGTGGGGTGCATATACCCAGGTAAAGGGTTGCATATACCCGGATTGGTCTAGAGGTCCAACTTAGGGGAGTTAGAGTCTCTCCTGAGACAGAGAGGGTTAAAGGCTCCTCTCAATAAAAGGCAAGGATGCTTGACCAAACTTGGGTTTCAGGCCCGACTTAGGAAGGTTAGAGTCCTCTGTAAGATTCTGGGGATTAGAAGCCCCTCTCAGTAAAGTCCCTCTTGGCTAAGAATGGGTTTGGCACCATGGAATGTTAACTGTTATTGTCTTTGAATTAATCTACCTTACAGTTTGCTGACAGCTGTGGGTGACAGGATTAGGCATGTACAGGGCCATGGGACATAGGGAGCTTTTTTCTCCCTAAAAGGGAAAACTTGAGAGCTAATGGGACTGCTGGAAAAGATCCCTTCACCACTGACAAGCAGATGCCTGACCTTTTCAGTGTCACAGGGATAGGTGGGTCTTTTTAGTGTCACTGGGATGGGTGGGTCTTTCTCTGGCCTCTGTGAGCTGCTCACTTTCCCCACCCTGCTACAGGCAATGCTTTTCTCTCTCTCTTTCTCTATCCTATCTTTTCTATTACTCAGGGTGATCATCTTGGCCAGAGACCACATGTTGAAAAATGTCCTTGGGAGCTTAACCTTGTAACCATGTGGTCGTGATTTCTGTTGGTCTCTGCCAGCACAATGGTGGCCCAGGTTGAATTCCTGGCTTAGAGAATGAGGTCCTTTCTTATTTAATATTTATCTGTGTGACCTTTGCCATTTGTTGATTCTCTTCCCCGCCACAAACTGTCTTGAATTTTCCTTTCTCCCAGCACCTGTGAGGTTACTTTTGGTAAAGTTCAAAAGCCAGACTTATCAGCCGTTTGGCCTGACTAAAATTGGGTAAAAAGAAATTTCAAAAGGACTATTTTTTAGAGCGCTGTGGTTAAAAGTCAGCTTAATTAAAAGCGTATATTCAAGCTCTAACAGGCTGGGACTCAGGAAAAGCAGACGAGGCACCACAGACCCTGTTTTGGGAAAAACCTCTGTTTTCCTCATGAAACCCCAGGAATTGGAAGTGGATAGATCCCTTGCAAAGTCTAAGGCTTTGTTCTCTTTTGCATTATGTTATCTGATGTTTTTGATTTTGGGGGTTATCAGAAATTACTTTGCATTATGAGAGAGCTTTAGTGTGTAATATCTAGGTAGGAAATATAGTTTTGGAATGGGCTGATTCCCTCTTTTTTGGGGATCCAGCATCTGGTATAAAAATGGGACCCTTGGCCGGGTGCGGTGGCTCTCACCTGTAATCATAGCACTTTGGGAGGATGAGGCAGGCAGATCACCTGAGGTCAGGAGTTCAAAACCAGCCTGGTGAACATGGCAAAACCCTGTCTCCACTAAATATACAAAATTTAGCTGGACATGGTGGCAGGCACTTGTAATCCCAGCTACTCAGGAGGCTGAGGCAGGAGAATCGCTTGAACCCAGGAGTCGGAGGTTGCAGTGAGCTGAGATCACGCCACTGCATTCCAGCCTGGGCAACAGAGCAAGACTGTCTCAAAAAAAAAAAAAAAAAAAAAAAAAAAGAGGACCCCTAATTTTTGGAGATCTGTTTTTCCTTCCAACTGTGTTTGCTTATTAGGCCCTAAACACTGCATACTTTCCTGACCCTGTTACTCCAAAGGCTGCACCCTAAAGTCAGTAATCCAATTAAAGAACTGGTGAATGAAAAATCTTACAACTACTGGATCTTGTTCTGTCTGCCTGTGTATTTATATGTATTATGTGTATGATGTTTATATATGAAAGAGCTTTAATTGGCTTAAAAATAATAACCAATTAAATATTTTGTGAGAAAAGTAAAAAGTGTAATGCCTTTTGGTTCACATGGATTTAGTAATCTTTGGGAAATAAAAATAGTTTTAAAGATTATTGGTAAAAGTTGCTAAGAATTAACATTATACCACGTAACTGAGACTACTGAAGAAACAGTTTTACATGCAAGGTATGTAAAGAAAATGAAATGTGTTTTTGTAAAAGATTATAAGAAGGCATGGAAATGTGGATTTTTTTTTTTTTTTGCCTAGATTAAAAGGTTAAAGGATTGTTTTAAGTTAGATAGAATAAAGCTGAAGGTTTGAGCAAATTGTGAAAAGTTTGTGAAAAATTAATCTTGTAAAAAATTCTGTGTGTGAACATACTGGCTAAAGCTAAAGGGGTATTACTCAGTTTTTCCGTAAATTGAGCCTTGGACTAAAAGCACAACAAGGTTTTCTAAGAGTACTCATCTGCTCTTTATGAGAAAATCTGTAAAGGCTTATAGAAGGTTTATAAAAATCTTATCTTATGGTCAAACTGATGAAGATTGGATAGATTTATGTATAAAGTTTTATTAAAAATTGGAGTTTAACATTAGTAGTATACTAATGTAAAGGTGAAATTTGGCTTATTTGGTATAAAAGTCATACAGGAAGCAGTGTCAAATATGAAATGATGTTTGCTTTTCTTTGGGCTGTATTTGTATAAATGTGTTATTGGTCTGTGTTCCAAAATTATGAGAAACTCCTATAAATCTGATATGGCTTAATGTATGTTATTAATAATTATAATTGTTATATAAAATTGTTATATGCCACAGAAGTAACCAATATTTCCTTTTCAGTTGTGGCTTTAATAGCGGCTCTCCTAAGACATTTTATCATCCATAGACAACTGTTGTCTTGTTTTGATCCTTTTTAAAAGCTGGTTTATAATCAGCCATAGGACTCTAACAGGTGTTATTAAATGCAGGTTTCTGATAACTTTGGTGATTGTGACATTAGAATAGAGAAAAAAACTTTCAGGGCTCTCATGGAAAGCCAGAATGTTCATGACTATCAAGCAGAATTGGAGTTAACGGAATAGACTAATGGAAGACTGAATTAATATTTTTTTACTTTTTTGCTTAAAACGTTGCTGATCCTTTGCTCTGTTTTTCAGAGTCAAGAAAACTTTTATTTTGAGCTATTTCCAGCTTGTAGCAATTGAGTAAAGTATACTCCTGTGAACAAAATTTGGAGCATATTTGTTTCTCTCTTTACCTAATTTCTCCAGAATTTGAGAACTATTTGTGAGTATTTTTAACTTATGGCAATACAGTTCTTTGTATAAGTGCAATAAGAATCTGTTTCCTTTTGCAACAGGGCACAATTGGAGAAACTGGTTATTTTACAAAGGCTTTGACTGGAATGGCATGCTCACAGGATTCCTCAAGAATCCTGTGTTAAGTAAGGGACCTCAAGAGAAAAGGAATTTACCCAACTCACAGGTATTTGAGGGTACAAACCCGTGGTTGGGCTTGGCTTTAAAAAAGTCTTATCTAAAATTCCTTCTATGGAACAAAGTTCCGTCAAAGCCAATTTAAAAAGCCTATGTGAAAAATAATTATTCTTGCTGCACTTTATACAAATAATCAGGCCAAGTATAAAACTAAGGCTTATATTTACAAACAAATCAGTCCTATTATGATTTGCCTTTAGCAAAAATGGGAAACTGGAGAGAAAATATTATGTTTCAAGAACTATGGTACACCGGTTATTAGATTCTAGTTTTATCAGTTTTTTTTTTTAAGTTTTTTTCCTGCTTTTTAGGCTGACCTTGAGTATTCCTGTGAAGTAATCAGTGATCTCTGGCTGCTGCTGAAAAGAAACAAGAAAGATGGGTAATGTAAAAATCTGAACCAATATTCTAATTCTAGGCATATTGTAATCAGCTAGCAACTCTATAACAGCTTGGTTCCAACAGTAACCCAGTTCATAGAAAGCCTTCTAATTTAGTTTACTTGGATAATTTTACTTATTTTGCTTTACTGTTGTGGAATATATTGCTGTTGTACTCTATGTGTAGGAATGCAGGATAAGCTTACTCACCGTTTTCTTACACTGAGCACTTATTAATCTTCCAGATATCACCTTTTGTCAGAACTCGAAAATTATAAGTGACCCTTGCCAACCACGGCTTTCTGACTGAGCTCCTTTCTATCCTGAATACAACAGACCCAATAGTTAGGTAGGAATACTATCACCCTTGTTCAGCATGAAGAAGTTACAGAAGACGGATCTTTGTCTCTCTACAACCCCTAAGATTAAGAGTTCTCCTGGGAGGTGGAGGTTGCAGTGAGCCAAGATTGCGCCACTGCACTCTAGCCTGGGTGACAGAGCAACACTGTCCTGGGAAAAAAAAAAAAAGAAAATTCTCTTGTAAAAGAGAGGGGGGAGTATGTCAGAGGCGTTTGAACCAGAGCAACTCCATCTTGGGTAGGAGCTGGGTAAAATAAGGCTGAGACCTATTGGGCTGCATTCCCAGACTGTTAGGCATTCCAAGTCACAGGATGAGATAGGAGGTCAACACAAGATATGGGTCACAAAGATCTTGCTGATAAAACAGGTTGCAGTAAAGAAGCCGGCCAAAATCCACCAAAACCAAGACGGTGATGAGAGACCTCTGGTCATCCTCACTGCTGCACTCTCACCAGCACCATGACAGTTTACAAATGCCATTGCAACATCAGGAAGTTGCCCTGTATGGTCTAAAAAGGGGAGGCCTGAATAATCCACCCCTTGTTTAGCATACAATCAATAAACAACCATAAAAATGGGCAACCAACAGCCTTCAGGTTGCTGCCTATGAAGTAGCCATTCATATTATTATTATTTTTTTAGACAGAGTTTTGCTCTTGTTGCCCAGGCTGGAGTGCAATTGTGCGATCTCGGCTCACCGCAAACTCCGCCTTCCGGGTTCAAGTGATTCTCCTGCCTCAGCCTCCCGAGTAACTGAGATTACAGGCATGTGCCATCAAGCCTGGCTAATTTTGTATTTTTAGTAGAGACGGGGTTTCACCATATTAGCCATGCTGGTCTCTTGGCCAGGCTGGTCTCGAACTCCTGACCTCATGATCTGCCCGCCTCGGCCTCCCAAAGTGCTGGGAATACAGGTGTGAGCCACCGCACCTGGCTTTATACATGAATTTTATCATTATCCTTGAGAATTTTAGCATCCATATAGAGATTTTACTGATATCCTTTCTTGGCATGATTTTGCTTCTTCTAAAAAAAAAAATGCAACTGACACTAATGGTTAGGATGTGGAGAAAGAGGCAGAAAAGGAAAAAAAGGGGAGCAGGACCTCATCTCAAAGTTGTGATCTGAAGAGGTGAAATCCTTTTTGGATTGGTAGCAGAATTGACAACAGGCAAGTGGAAACCTGTTAAAGGATAATCATGTCTAGACAATTTTATCAAAAGTATCTAAAAAATACCTTCCCCCAAATGCACCATGAGCCATCCATCCCCAAATTAATACCCGATAGAATGAATTGGACAATCATTGTCAGAGTTTGGTTCAAATAGGTTGTAATTAAAGAGTACCTATAATTATGGGGCCTCAAATAATCTAACAATGCATTTTTTTACAGCGTAATTGACACTTTGAGGTCTGCAGAGATGAGATGCCAACAGATGTGTTTCAATGGCTTCCAGGAATTAGTATGGGAGTGATAAGCCCCAATAGAGCTAGATTTGAAACTTAAGAGATAATAAGATGATGACAGAGTGTAGGTAAATGTTATCAACTAGGAAACCTGATGAAGAACTGGCATTGATAGTGAGGAGGATGCTGAAGGAGAATGGGCACTATTGAGCTTCGTTAATCTCATGAATCAGCTGGGACAAAAAAATTCTTGACATGTTTACCACCATATTTGCTTTTCATGGCTAGGCCCATCTTTAGTAATCAATTATAACCTAGTGCCCTGTTCAGCATGTATGGGGCTTCTGAATGAATCTCTTTCAATCCAGCAAGCCAGGCAACTCAATCAATACATTAAAAGTGACATATGAGATAAAAACCCATTTCTTTACCTTAGACTAGATTATATGAAACAACCTTTACAGCATTAAAATTCTTTCATGTTTAACATGAAAAAAGTCTCAATGAGTCTTTCTCTGCTTTAGGAGATGATACAGACTGTAGCATATTATAATTAGGCCACTCACATGAAATTATTTCAAGTTCCAGAAAAAAAAGAAGATACAGACATTTGCTATCTTCAATCCATTTTTCAAAATTTTAAACATAGAAAACCGAAAAAGACATTTAAATTTAATTTTGTCAAGATGAACGGGAAATTTCATTTTTGACATGTCTAACCACCACATTATCAGATATATAGATTTCAAGGATCCAACATTCAATTTTATGAGCTTTTTTCCCTTTTCCATATATGTCATGTTGTAAATCAATTTTGAAGATATAATGAGAGTTGTTTTTTTTTTCAAGATTTCATTGGATTTTTCTGAAACCAGAACCCAAATCTAGCTTTGAAAACAAAAGTAGTCTCAAAACACAAGACCAATTCTTCCCTCAAAGATCATCTCCACTTCTCCTCTTTGTACTGACAGAATGTGGCACTTTCCAAATTATCCATTGTGTTGGAAAATTGTACAGCAGGGGGGACACTTATTTGTTGTTGTTGTTGTTGTTTTAAAAGCTTATTAACCTGTCTTGAATAACTTTGCCACTCCTGATGACACCAAAGGTTGAAGAAATGTAAGGTAAGATACGTTATGAATTTTATTCCTGAACAATATTGAATAAACCAATATTGAATATATAGTTGAATTCTATGAAAATCTGATTGTCACACTTTTTTGTGTCATTTTACACTTTTAAAAATACACTCTTTGCCCTCTTCGCAAATAAAATTAATGCTCCATGTGGAAGACTTGGAAAGACAGAAAACAAAGGAGAAAAATAATTCTTATTTCTTTCACCCAAAGTTTCCAGGCTTATTATATTTCCATGTTTTGTCCTTTTTCCTCCCTCTCTCCCTGCCTGCCTATTTCCTTCCATCCTGCTGGCCCCATGAACTATCCATAGTTATTGCTTCTGTTTTACCTCCAGCACCATACTACGAAAACTATTTCCACAAAAAATGTACATCCCTTCTTTATAAGTTTTTAACATAAATGTTACAATGAAACAGATGGTGCAATTTGATGAGATTTATAAATGTGTACAACAATGAGACCTACATTAAAATGCAGATATAGAACTGTCCCACCTTCCAGTTAATTCCCAACACTAACCCCAAGATAACTAATGTTTAGTTTTTTCTGTTCTTGAATTTACTTAAATGGAATCATACAGTGTGTAGTGCTTTTGATTTGGCTTCTTTTGCTGAACATAATGCTTTTGAGATTTGTTCATGTTGTTGCACTAAGTAGTTCAATCTTTTTTTATTGCTGAGTAGAATTTTATTATATGACTATTCCACAATTTGGCTAGGTTATCTGTTCTCCTGTTGATGAACGTCTGAGTTATTTCCAGTTTTTGTCTATTTTGAGTGAAGCTGCTGGAAACATTTTAGTACAAGTCTCTTATAGATATATGCATGATTTTCAGTGGTCACACAGTATACCACTGAATTTGTATGTTGTATATACTTAACCCAACCCCTGGTGTTGCTCAGTAAATTATTTTCTGTTTTAACAATCAGAAACAATGCTATCTTGTAAATCTGTATGAGCTTTATATTCTTTTTAAAAATAAATAAAATATAGATAACATAAAATTTACCAGTTTAACCATTTTAAGTGTACAGTCCAGTGGCATTAAGTACATTGTGCAACCATCACCACTATCCATCTCCAGAACTTTCTTGTCATCCCAAATAGAAACTCTACGCTCATTAAAAACTCCCATTCACACCTCCCTCTAACCCCTGCTAACTACTATTTTATTTTCTGTCACTACGAATTTGAATATTCTAGGTACCTCATATAAGTGGAATGGTACAAAGTTTGTCTCTTTGTGTCAGGCTTATTTCACTTAGCATAATGTTTTTATTATTCACCTATTTTATAACATGTTTCAGAATTTTATTCCTTAATACTTAATATATGCAGATAGTAATTTTGTTTATCCATTTGTCTGTTGATAGACATTTGTGTTGATTCTACTTTTTGACTATCATGAATATTGCTGCTATGAACTTTGATGTACAAATATCTCTTCAAATCTCTGCTTTCAATTCTTTGGGGTCTTTATCTAGAAGTAGAATTGCTGGACCATATGGTATTTCTGTTTAATTTTTTTGAGAAGCCTTCATATTGTTCTCCATAGTGGCTACACAATCACATTCTCACTCCATGAAATGCATGAGGGTTCCAATTTCTTCACTTCCTCAACAACACTTATTATTTTTTGTTTTGTTTTATTTTCTGATAATCATACTGGGTGTGAAGTGGCATCTCATCATGATTTTGATGTTGTGAATTTTTGTGCCTAACTTTGAATATATTCCGGATTATGTTTTAGGCAACATTTCTAGAAACATTGTGTGTCCAAAGTTATGTCCATTACGGTCCCATAATATGCAGAGCCACATTTCATTCCAGAAAGAGTATGCTACTTTATTCCATCAGCAGTGATATGAATTCTTTTTAGCTTGGTAGTTCCTTTCTTTTTTAGACAAGTCTAAATTATTCTAAACCATTTTCTTGATGGTTTCCAATATCTGGGTATTTTGCCTTCATTGTGGCAATTATCCAGTTACTTGGAAATATTTTCATATTTTGCTTACTGGTGGGGATCACCAATGTTTGTGCTAATGGCCACTAATTAACTATTATCTATGAAGAACTTGAAATTTTCTCATCAATTAACTTTTTTTTTTTTTTTTTTAATGGACAGAGTCTCGCTATGTCATTCAGGCTGGAGTGTAGCAGCATGATCTTGGCTCACTGCAACATCTGCCTCCTGGGTTCAAGTGATTCTCTTACCTCAGCCTCCTGAGTAGCTGGGATTACAGGCACCTGCCATCAAGCCTGGCTAATTTTTGTATTTTTAGTAGAGACAGGGTCTCACCATGTTGGCCAGGTTGGTCTCGAACTGCTGACCTCAGGTGATCCACCCGCCTCAGTCTCCCAAAGTGCTGGGATTACAGGCGTGAGCCACTGCGCCCGGCCATCAGTTAACTATTATTAATCAATAATTTGTAGATTGTGCTTTACTTGTTTCCCTGTTCTCCATATAGTACTTTGTCTTCTTAAGGGATCCTGCTATGGTCTGAATGTTTGTGTCCCCCAAACTCATATGTTCAAATTTGAATCCTCTAGATGATTGTATCAGAAGGTGGGGACTTTGAGAGGTGATTAGGTCTTGAGGCAGAGCCTCATAAATGTATTAGTGCCCATATAAAAGAGACCCCTGAGACATTCCTCACCCCTTCCATCATGTGAGGACACACTGAGAAGATCCCATCTATGAACCAAGAAATGATTCCCCACCAGACACTAAAGTTGTTGGCACCTTGTTCTTGAACTTCCCAGCCACAAGAACTGTGAGCAATGAACTTCTCTTGCTTATAAGCTGCCCAGTTTATGGTATTAGGTTATAGCAGTCCAAACAGACTAAGACAGATCTTCACAAATTATAGTAACGATAATTATTTATTGTATTTGCATACTGTTTTAACTATTTATGCACTGCATTATTTAAACTCTTTCACACACATTATATTTCTAGAGTCTCATAACATCCCCTCTAGGAAGGTAGGAAACATACTACTATTATTATAGGTGAAGAGAGAGATGCAGAGAAGTTAACTGTAAGGCCAGCAAGCTAGTTAGTGACAGAGGCAGAAGTAGAGGCTGACTCTTCCAATTCCTATTTAAAGATCTTTCTTGGATACTATACAACCTTCCATAAATATATAAAAGGAGTCTTTTTTAAAAACACCATATGTATAACATTTAACATAAAAGAAGTGAGCTCAAATAGAATTTGCCACTTTGTCAGGCTCAACACACATAATTTTGATATGATGCCAGGATCTAATGAGGATAGGCATATAATTTCATCATTACACTGAAAATAGACATTTTGAAGCAAGCACAGTGGACAAATTAGCTCATCATGGACAGATGATAGTTGTTATTTTCAATTACTTCATGAGTATTTTTCTCAATAATGTTGTACAGTTGCAACTGTCTCATTTTATTTGGCGTCCAGTAAGACGTGGCCTCTAGGGCAGGAAAAAAATCTCTGTGATGCTTTTTTAGTCACAGAAAACTTATTAATATGAAAGGTGTCATACCTTTAAAAACTAAAATATGAGGTTAAAAAACAGAACCGAAATTTTAAAACATTTTTTAAATAAAAAAATGTGAAATGATCACAGCTGAACAAAAGGCAAGAGTTTTCCAAACTCTGAGCCTAGCTTCCTTCTGTAGGAATGACATTCCTGCACAGGTGTCTGCCGACTCAGTTTTGGCTGTATACTTGGAAACCTTGCAGAGGTAAATAAATTCCTAGCTCATGGCTGTCAAACATATTAAATTATTTTTTAAAAAGGAAATCTTTATGGAATTTCAATGTAGGAAATTGAGAAAAGTGGAGCAACTCCAGTCAAAACACAGAGAGAGTTAAAGCAAAGAGAGGAAGCTGCGTCCCTATGCACCTCAAGATTTGTATAATTTCATAACATTGAGTTCTTGCTATGATTGGTGATGGGGACCTAGTGAAGGACAAAAGTAACAACGTCCCTGCTTTCATGAAACTTACAATCAATCAGTCTAGTAGAGGAGACAGATAATCAAATTATCATGACATCAAGCATAAAACTACAACTTTGATGCTTATGCACAGAAGATGTGCACAATAAATTATAATGAAGAACATGGCCTAGTTGAAGAGGTCAGGGAAGTCTTCTCCAAGGAGGTGGTACTTGGGCTTGGAGCTGAAAGATTAATAAACATTTACTAAGTGAAAAGAGGAATTAAGAGTATGCTAAGAAGGGGGAAATGTATGTTATGAGAAAAGGCCTGTACCCAAAGGTAAACAAGAGGAATTGAAAAATTAAAAATTGGGCCTGGGCCAGGCACTGTGGCTCACACCTGTAATCCCAGCACTTTGGGACGGCCAATGTGGGAGGATTGCTTGAGCTTAGGAGTTCAAGATCAGCCTGGACACATGGCAAAACTCCATCTCTACAACAAATACAAAAATTAGGCAAGTGTAGTGGTGCATGCCTGTGGTCCCCAGCTTCTTAGGAGGCTGAGGCTGAAGTGGGAGGATTGCCTTGGGAGTGGGGGGTGCAAGGCTGCAGTGAGCCAAAGTCCTGCCACTACACTCCAGCCTTGGTGACAGAGTGGCACACCTTGTCTCAAAAAAAAAAAAAAGAAGGAATGAAGGAAGGAAAGGAAGGAAGGAAGGAAGGCAGGCAGGCAGGCAAGAAGGAAAGAAAGAAAGAGAAAGGAGACAGAAAAGAAAGACAGAAAAAGAAAGAAAGAAAGACAAGAAAGAAAGAAAGAAAGAAAGAAAGAAAGAAAGAAAGAAAGAAAGAAAAGAGAGAGAGAGAAAGAAAGAAAGAAAGAAAGAGAAAGAAAGAAAGAAAAAGAAAGAAAGAAAGAAAGAAAGAAAGAAGGAAAGAAAGAAAGAAAGAAAGAAAGAAAGAAAAAGAAAGAAAGAAAGAAAGAAAGAAAAAAAGGAAGGAAGGAAGGAAGGCTGTATGGGGGGAAAAGAAAGGAATGTATAGCCTAATAGAAGGTGAGGCTAGAGGGATAGGTACAGCTGAGCTATGTAAAGAGATGACTGGCTGTGTTAAGGAGTTTTGTCCTTGTCATAAAAACAATAGGAGGGGGCTGGGTGCTGTGACTCACGCCTGTAATCCCAGCACTTTGGGAAGCCGAGGCAGGCGGATCACCAGGTCAGGAGATCGAGACCATCCTGGCTAACACGATGAAACCCTGTCTCTACTAAAAATACAAAAAATTAGCTGGGCGTGGTGGCGGGCGCCTGTAGTCCCAGCTACACAAGAGGCTGAGGCAGGAGAATGGCGTGAACCCTGGAGGCGGAGCGTGCAGTGAGCTGAGATTGTGCCACTGCACTCCAGCCTGGGCAACAGAGCTAGACTCTGACTCAAAAAAAAAAAAAAAAAAAAGAACAACGGAAGGTTAGTGAGAGTCAGTGGCATGGCTCAATGTGCGTTTTGAGAGGATCACTCTGCTGTGGTATATAGAGCACTCTGGGAAGAGGCTGACAGTGGATGGGAGTAGACAAGTCAGTAGACTAGTGCTGTGATCCAGGCAAAAGAGGATGAGTGGATGGATTATGCTTGTTTAGGAAGTAAAATTTGCAGGACTGAGAGGATATTAAGGGAGAGTCATGAGAGGGAGGAAGATGTTATGTTAAATGCAGGATTTTGGCTGGTGTAATAGATAATGCAACTGATGGGGGATAATTCCTTTAGAGCAGGGGCCAGCAAACTGTGGCATATGGGACAGATCCTGCCTACTGCCTGTTTCTGAAATCCAGTTTTATTGGAACACAGCCATGCTCATTTGTTTATGTAGTGAGTATGGCTACTTTTGTGCTGTAAATGCGGAGCTGAGTAGTTGCGACAGAGCCTGGCTCACAAAGCCTAAAAAACTTATTATCTATGTCTTTACAGAAAAAGTTTGCTGACCTGGCCCTAGAAAGAATATGTGTGTGTATGTGTGTGTATGTGAGTGTATGTGTGTGTGTGTATATATATATATATATATGTACACATATATATATATATATATATACATACATATACATATATATTTAATCCTTGTGGTGGGCCATTCTTGCATTGTTATAAAGGAATACCTGAGACTGGCTAATTTATAGAGAAAAGAGGTTTAATTGGCTCACAGTTCTGCATGCTGTATGGGAAGCATAGTGCCGGCATCTGCTTCTAGGGAGGCCTCAGGAAGCTTATAATCATGGCAGAAGGCAAGGGGGAACAGGCATCTCACATGGTGGCAGTGGGAGCAAGAGAGAGTGGGAAGTAGGTGCCACACTTTACAATAACCAGATGTTGGGGGGACTCACTCACTATCACGAAGACAGCACCAAGCCATGAGGAATCCACACCCATGACTCAAACACCTCCCTTCAGGTCCCACCTCCAACACTGAGGATTAAATTTCAATGTGAGATTTGGGCAAGGACAAATATCCAAACTATAGATCAACCCTTGAACAACGCAGATTTGCTGAGTGTGTGACATTTGATATGTCAAGACCAGCCTCTCCTTTTCTTCCTCCTCCTCAGCCTACTCAATGCAAAGATGAGAAGGATGAAGACCTTTATGATGATCTACCTCCACCTAATGGTCAATATATTTTATCTTCCTTATAATCTTCTTAATAACATTTTCTTTTTTCTAGCTTGCTTTATTGTAAGAATACAGTATATAATACATATACAAAATACAAGTTAATTGTTCATGTCTTTGGTAGGCTTCTGATCAATAGTAGGCTATTAGCAGTTAAGTTTTTGTGGAGTCAAAACTTATATGTGGATTTTCAACTGCATAGGGGGTTGGTGCCCCTAACCTCCATGTTGCTTAAGTGTCAACTGTGTGTGTGTGTGTGTGTGTGTGTGTGTGTGTGTGAAAAAACATGAGATTGGGAGATAATGAGTTTGGTTTTGTTTGTATGTGTTTGAAGTGCTCTGAGAAAGCCAAGGGATGAAGTGAGTAAGGCGGTTACATATAGGACTTCAGAGGTGTTATCAATGTAGAAGTCAACTGTATGAAGGTTGAAATGGTAGTAATGAGTATGGATTAGACTACACAGGGGGAGATTAGAGTGAGAAAAAGAAGATGGCTAGGACAGAGCCTGGAGAAAGTTCATCATTTAAGAACCAGATAGAATAGTGATCAGAGAAAGTGTGAGGCCAAAAATGTGGCAGTATGGAAGTCAAGTACATTTATTTCCTAGGGCTGCAGCACCAAAATACCACAACTTAGTGGCTTAAAAGAGAAATTTATTCCCACACAGTTCAGGAAGACAGAAGTCTGAAATCAAGTTGTCAGTAGGATCGGTTCCTTCTTGGGGGCTCATAAGGAGAATGTGAGTGCATTCCATGTCGGATTTAGCTACTGGTAATGCCATCAATCCTTGGCATTTTTTGGCTTATAGATACATCACTCCAATCTCTATGTCTATTGTCACATAGAGTTTTCCCTATATTCTGTCCCTGTGTTTCTTCTCTTCTTCTTATAAGGTCACTAGTCATACGGGATTAAGGACCCACCCTACTTCAGTGTGACCCTGTCCTAATTAATTGCATCTGGAATGACTCTATTTCCAAATAAGGTCATATTCTGAGGCTCCTGAAAAGGACATGATTTTGGGGAGACACTATTCAACCCACTACATTGGAGGAAAAGATAATTTCTAAGAGGAAGCAGTGTGAACAGCATCTGATGCTGTGGAGATGTCCAGAGAATGGTTTTAAAGGAAAGTAGATACCCAAAGATGGAATTTAAGCAGGTTATACTTGCATCTGAATGTGCAGATTCCCTTCCTGTTTCCAGTCATCTGCAGTTTTATTGATGACTTGCATTGGAGAGCCTGTCTTAATTTTTGAGAGATATCCCAGTTGGTGTCCCTCATGTGGCATAGGAGTCTTGGCTCTGGAGCAATGTGAGAGTAGACATGCCACCTTTGGAATTTCTCTTTTTGATCTTTGAAACCACTTGATTTCCCATGGAGATCTTTCCTTAAGTAATATCCAAGCCTGTTCCTATTTAGAGTGCACAAGGGCTAATGGGATCACTAGCTGAGGTGAAATGGTTGCAGATGGTAATGTGAAGACTAATTTATTTTCAGAGGCTTTTAGGAATTCATGTACTTTTAATGATAGCTTACTATAACCACAAATCCCTCATTTTCATTTTTTAAAGGGAAAGGATATTGCCCATTATTAACAACACAGGAAGACAGAGTAGGCAGCTAATTGACCCAGCTAAGCTAATACAATTGTGGTGGGGTTATGAAAGCCGAAGAGCTTTACTATGGTCCTAGGACTTTTGTCTCATTTTTTACATTGACTTCTCTGACCTCTCTACAAGCCATTTTCACCTGCTCGTCTCTTTTCCTCAGTCGAGCTTCCATCTGGCAGACCCACAGTGAGGTCTGTTGGGTAGTGTTTTCTGTGATCCTTTCTTTTTTTATCAAAAAGCTGAAGCTGCCCGTGCCCCTGCCAATAGGATGGTGACTTTTTCTTGGAAAGGGCAAAAAGGGGCGGGATTACATCTTGCCCATCACTCTGCTCTGTGGTCCTATTATCTGCTGCTTCTTAAACCAAAAGGTGGGAATGACATGTTGGCTGACACTAGCCTCAGAGAGAAAAGGAGGGAAAAAGGAAGGATGGGAATAGAAATTATATATATATATATATATGCGTGTGTGTGTGTGTGTATAAATATATATATATACACACATATATGTGTATAAATATATATATATACACACGTGCATATATATATATATTTCTTGACATGAAAGGAAAAAAATAAAGTCTTACATAGTCATAAATTGTTAATTCCAGGGGAGAATATGTTAATTCCTTCCCTGGTGTTTGAAGAGAGCTGGATTGCTGATACTATAGATCTATAAATTCATAAAGGCCAGAGGCCTCCCAGACAGTCTGGCAGGGCTGGAGTTATCCTTTGCTGATCGCTTCTACTCCTTCTGCTCCCATCTCTTCTGATACTGGACTCTTGGCCCTGCTCCCCAGATTTAGGTCTGTCTCTGATGAGTTGTAGGCTTATTCTTAGTCTTTCCAGGTATTGAAGCTTGGGTTTTTTGGAGGGATTTTAACAAGGGTTGCACTCCTGGCTGTTATCCATGGCTCTATACTGCCTCACACTCCACCCATCCCACCCAAAAAAGCCCTATTGCTGACACAGGATAACAGTCTGGGTCTGAAACCTAGAGATCTTCATGGTTTAGGAAATGGCACATAATCATTCATGGTGGGAAAATTGTGGATTTTGAAGTCAGGCCCACCCAAGATGAAATGTCAACCTGTGATCACTTTCATTTTTACTTAAAAAAAATTCCACTAAGTACATTCTAAAAACAATACAACAATGTTTGTATACAAAATATACATGAAAAAACACGGGCTGAAGAATATGTATACAATGGACGATCATTATTGCCCTGAGGTGAATCTGGAAACCAGGTAGTACAAGGCAGGGAACAAAGGAAACTTCAGGTTTTTCAGTAACAACTTAGGTCTTTTCTTTTTTTAAAAAAATCTGAAGCTATTAGGGCAAAAAGTTAACATTATAAAAAATTCTGATCCTGGGTTATGTTATTCTCTCTATTTTTCTACGTTGAGCATCCTTTCATAAATTTGTTTGCTGTTTTTGTTTTTCTATGAATTGTTTGTTCATAATCACCTTCTGTTCTTCTATTGGGCTGTTTATCCTTTCCACATTGCTTTGAAGTTATTTATTTCAGTTGAATATGTGTATTGTAGCATCTGTCTATGGTTTATATTGTCTTTTGTTTTTTGAGTCTTTTGACAGGCAGTGAGTGATAGAAGAGATAACAGAAAATAACTTATTAAAACTTTTCCTTTATGCCTTGAGCTTTTGGTGTACTGCTTAAAATTCCTTCTTACCTTAAGTTCATAACGTTTGCTATTTTCATATGTTTTCTTCGGATAGAATTAAAGTTTTGTTTTTCCTATAAGTCTCTAATCGGTCTGGAATTAATATTTTTTTGGCAAGAGTAATTTACAGATTTAGTTTAATTTTTTTCTATTTGGAAGTCCAACTGTCCTAAAACTATTTAATGTTTGGTTACAGGAACACTGTTGATTTTGTATCCAAAATCATGCTGAATTCTCATACACTTTAATAACCATAGATTTTACTCAATTTTCCACGTAAATTAACCCCTAGTACTGCAAATAATGACAATTTTGTCTATTAGCCTCATATATCTTATTTCCTTCTCTGGCCTTATTGTAATGTCAGAATCTCTAGTACAATGTTAAATAGTAGTGAAGATAATGGGCATCCATATCTCATTCTTGACATTAATAAAAATGCTTTCAAACTTTTACTACTAAGTAGAAGTTTGCTAGAGGCTTTTGTTAGATATTCTTTTATCAAGTTAAAGAAGTTCCCTTATATTTCCAGTTTGCTGAAAATACATTTTTAAAAAATTATAAATGAATAGGACAAAGTTATGTCTTTCTTTCGCATGATGTGAATGCTTTAAACTGGTTGTTTGAACCTGCTGCTCCTTGAGTTCATTGAGGAGCCCAAATAACTGCTTTGCCTTTCCTTAGACCACTGTTCTCATTGGGGGAGCAGAGAAGAAAGACTTGGAGGAAGCATGAAGATCTGAAGACCCAGGCCCCAAAGTAGCATACAAAAATACTATTCTCATTCCACTGGGGAGAATTTAGTCATAGGGTTATACATAACTGTAAAGGAAGCCAGAAATTGTAGTGTACAACCATCCCTGCCTAAAATATATGTATTTTTTATTTGTTAAAAACTTTCTATTTCTAGTTATTTTTACTAACATCATTGCTTATTTGTGTTTATCAGAGACAGGAAAAAACCAAAGTGTTTCTGATACCAGATGTGTGGGGGCTGTTTCCCCACACACCAATCAATTATTTAGCAGATTCTAGCTGGGCACCCTTTAATTCAAGTCAGTTATGACACCACATACCCGGAAATAGCATTAGGTCCCATGGGTTGAGTTCAGTTCCATGACTGGGCCGCTCCAGACGCCATCCACAAGCCCCCAGTTGTCATCTGTTCTTCTGACCAACCAGCTGTAAATCAGGGTTTCCACAATCCCCTTCCTCAGGTTCCACTAATTTGCTAGAGGGCCTCAAATAACTTAGGGAGACATTTTACTTATGTTTGCTGGTTTATTAATAAAGACTATAATAAAGGATAAAGATAAGCAGAGATACATTGGGTGAGTCTGGAAGGGTCCTGAGAGCAGGCATTTCTGTTCCCATGGAGTTGGGATGTGCCATCCTCCCAGCCCAGGGATGTGTTCACCAACCTGGAGGCTGTCTGAACCCCATAGTGCAGGATTAATCACATAGGCATTATCAATTATTAACTATTTACACCCCATCTCTTCTCTCTGAAGAATGCGAGGGTGGGGCCAAAATCTCCAAGCTTATTATCATTGCTTGGTCTTTTTAGTGACCAGCCCTCAGCCAGGTGCCCACCAAGAGTCACCTCATTACAACAAAAGATGTTCTTATCATTCAGGAAATTCCAAGGAATTTAAGAGCTCTGTGTCAGATGCTCCTATCATTCAGGCAATTACAAAGACCTTAGGAGCTCCGTGTCAGGAATCAGGGTAAAAGACCAAATATTAGAATAAAATATTCTCCTAGCATCCCTGTCTACAAGGATATTAGGAATTCTGTCTCAGGTACTGGGGCAGAGACCAAGTATTAGAACATTACAGGTGTGGTGACTCATACCTGTAATCCCAGCACTTTGGGAGGTCAAGGCAGTGGATTATTTGAGGTCAGGAGTTTGAGACCAGCCTGGCCAACATGGCGAAACCCCATCTCCACTAAAAATACAAAAATTAGCCGGGCATTGTGGCATGGGCCTGTAGTCCCAGCTACTTGGGAGGCTGAGGCAGGAGAATCGCTTAAACCCGGGAAGCAGAGGTTGCAGTGACTCGAGATCGCGCCACTGCAATCCAGCCTGGGAGACAGGATGAGACTCGTCTCAAAAAAAGAAAAAAAAAAAGAAAAGAAAAGAAAAAAAAAAGATTCTCCAGCATTGCTATAACTCAGGAAATTACGAGGGCTTTAGAAGCTCTGTGTCAGGGACTGGAGGACTGGAGACAGAGACATATATATATATATATATATATATATATATATATATATATATACACATACATATATGTTTCTTATAATTTTATTGCTATTTTCTTCATGTATATACACACATATGGAGAGAGAAAGACAGAGAGAGAGAGAGAGAAAGAGAAAGATAGAATCTTGCTCTGTTGCCCAGGCCAGAATACAGTGTCACAGTCACAGCTCACTGCAGCCTCAACCTCCTGGCTCAAGCAATCGTCCCACCTCAGCCTCCCAAGTAGCTAGGACTACAATCATGCACCACCATGCCCATCTATTTTTTTTTAAACAAATTTATAGAGGTGAGGTCTCACTGTGTTGCCCAGGCTGGTCTCAAACCCTTGGACTCAAGCAATTCTCCTACCTCAGTCTTCTAAAGTGCTGGAATTACAGGCATGAGCCACCATGTTCAGCTTCATTACGTTTTTTTCTCGATCAGTTGTTAAAGTTTTTTTTTTTCTCTTATAAACTCTGACATTAGTGAAAAAACTGACAAAAATCCAAACGAAGCCTGGAGTTTAGTTAATAGTAATACATACCAAAGTTGATTTCTCAGTTTTGAAAACTGAATCATAATAGTGTTAGACTCTCACATTAGGGAAAACTGGTTGAGATACATAATTTTATCTCTGCAACTTTTCTCTAAAGCTAAAATTATTCCAAAATAAAAACATTCTTTTTAAAAAGCCTTCAGTTGTGTTTATCATTACTACTCTAGTCTTGTTTTCTTTTTCATTGATTTGTGTCTCTCTTGGTACCACCTCCTTCTTTCTAGTTGCTTTGGGCCCAGTCTGTATTTCTAACTGTTAAGTTTGAAGGGGTGGGTCATGTTGCCTAAAGGCTGCTATTTGAGCCATATGAACTGTCTCAAATCATGTAATCTCTCTTAACCTGTTACTCCCTCTTTATATAAGTACCTATAAAATAAGGTAATAATGCCTTCCTTCTAAAGTGGATACAAGGTTAAATGAAAGCATACATTTAAAACACTCATAACATAGTAAGCAGTTAATAAATAATTGTTGCAATCATCATCATCATCATCATTCTTACAAGGAGAATCCATGACAAAGTGTTTTGGGTGTTTTGAATACACACAGTGAAATTTGATGGGGTTAATTTTTGGGTAATACTAGTTTTATTACCTGCATGAACACATTTTTTTATATTTTATTCACAATTCTTGTGCCATAAAATTCCTTAGAATGCTAATCAAAACTGATGACGAGTTATGTGAAAGGATGCAGAAATATGTTTGTAGGAAAAAAATAAGTAAAGAAATTGCATTTGCTTTTGGTCTTGTATGTTGTATTGGACATTCTCTATTTATCTTTCCATCCCATGCTCCACCCCTCTATACTTCTACATCCTGTTCTGCCTCGCTGGGAAGCTAATCCCTATGTACTGAGTCAACCGGATTCCCTATTCTTTCCCAAGGAGAGATGTCAGTAGGAGATTGGAAGGTGAGAAGAAGGAATATGTAGAGTATTTTTTTCCCCTGGCTCCTCTGTTGAAGACCACCGCTCCTTTTAGGTAGTTCTCCTTACAATTACCACTATAGATGTCTCCAAATTCAGGAAACCTATTTTTTCCTTATTTCCTCTCCACTGGCTCTTCAGACCTGAAAATGATAACATCCTAGAGGTTGCCAGTATTAGGATATTTCATTCTTCCTTTCAGGTTTCTCTTAACCTTGCCAACACCTTTATGTTGAAATTATGAAATCACCCCTTCACTAAACTCTTCTCAATTAACCTGTTTAAGTGTGCTACCAGTCTTATCACTAATGCATGTTTTTCACTATTTACAATTCAATTTGCCACCATAGCTGAATTTTGAAAACTGTTGTTAAAAACGGCACCCAAGGGTCCAGAGGAAATTAGTCCAATATACTTACCTGCAAACCTGCAACTCCAAATATTAATAAATGAAAGCACTGAAGTGATGACTGCCTACACTCGTCTTTAGATATATTGCCTTTTTTTAACTACTATTTCAATGCCTATTCCCAAGGATAATACAGGGCGCATGAAGACATAATTTAAATAGTCAACATTTCCAAGCATTTGCTATATTCCAGGTGTCCTTCTAAGCTATTTTAATCATTGAAATTGCCCCATGAGGTAGTTGCCACTAGTATCCACTCTGTTTTATAGATGAGAAAACTGAGATGTAGAAAAGTTAAGAAATTTGTTTAGGATCAGATGATAAGCAAGTGGTCAGGATGTGATTTCAACCCAAGCATTTGGATTCCCACACCAGCACTTGGAACCATTGAGTTGCAATTGGCCCAACAATGTAGTTGTGAGATGACTTTCAAGCCAATTTCAAAAGGTGCCAGTCAGAGTTTCAGCATGAAATAGATGGCATACTGAAAACTGGCTATTTGAGGAGTATTTAATAAAGATCACATTACAGGGTTTAGGGAGACCAACAAGCGATGGTGCAATGCCTCAGGGCTAGTAATAGTGAGGAAATGTTACCATACCTAGTCCTAAAAGGACAAGAGGAGGAAATGAATGGTTATTGGAATCTGGAATAGTTACTAGCTGTAGCTTTAGCTATAAGAGAAGGCTGCCAAGCAAGAGCTATGGCATTTGACTGAAAAATGCAGCCAATATTGCCATGACCATATAATGAAGGAGCCAGGAGAAGAAATACTTCCCTCTCATTTCTCTTCCATCTACCCATCTCCTGCTGATCTCTCTTACTGTTCAAACCCATTGTAAACCAGAGAGCCAGGAGCCCATATGATATAATCTATAAAGCTTTCCCTCCCAGGGGCCAGAGGCCAGAGCAGGGTGGAGAATGGTATAGAGGGGAAACAGAAAATACCCAGTAGAGTGAATTTTTCTAATTAAGGAAATATTTTTGCTCCTGGAATAGTTTTATACAAGACTGAAATCTAAAATAAAATGGTCATATTCAACAAGGTGTTAACAAAGATTCCTTCTCCTCTTTATTTTAACTGCTTTTGAAAAGGAGTTAAGCTTTTGTGAATATCCACACATACTGTTTGTTTAGTTAAGTCTCTGTGGCAAAAATGTTTATATGTCTGTGAGTCTGTAGATATAACCCAGTGGATAGAAGCCACAGTTCGGTCTATTATCAACTCAGGAATAGCGATTCTCCTTTAGGCTACTGTGTAGCATTGTCACAATACATAAAGAAGTGCTATAGGCTAGAATAATTTAAACTCATTCACGTCTTTAATGCTGGAGCTTGGTAGATCCAATCATAGAAGTTTTCTGAAACTTCAGCAACGGTATGAACTTTCTGGATTATCTGTTTTAACTTCCCACTCATGGAGGGAATACTGTCCATAAGAAAATTCTAAAGGATCATTTTCGAATCTATAAATCAATTTTCCAAACCATGAACCCACAAATCAAGGAGACAGAACTTTCTGAAACTCTATAACACTACTGATCTGCAATTCTCACCTTTTTCAGAATGGGTTTTTTTCCCTCTCCCATTATTTTTTCTACCATATCCTACTTTACACTTAATTTTTTAAATTTTTCTTTAAGTTATCTATGTTTTTCAATAAACAGCAGTCAGACTACAGCAATGTGGAATGGAAGAGTGAATTAAAACTCTGTTCACCTATCTAAGCATTTTTCAGAGAAACAGAAAAAAAGTTAATATCTTATGCTTGGTGCAAGCTAGCATATTTACAAGGAAAGGCTTATGTGTATATCAAGGATTGTGTATTACATGCTTCATTTGACTTACACAATAAGGTAGATACTAACATGTCCATTTTTACAGGTACGAACATTAATTAATTTCCTATGAATAAACAGCTAGACCCAAGCCCTAATTCTGTCACTTTAACCAGTGTTTCCGAAGGAAGTAAAGAGAAAGAAGGAAAAATGCCTCTGGAGGGGATGCCTGAAAATATTTGTGTGTGGGCATTTTTTTAAATGTCACAATAATTGGGGAATGCTATTGGTGGCCAAGGGCAGCCTTAAGTATCCCGCAATGCTCTGGACAGTCTAACATAACAAAGAACTCATCTACACAATCATGCTCAATTAAGAAACACTGACCAATATCACCCTAAAATAAAATGGAAGAACACTGAAATTGTTTGTTTTTGAGGTAAAAATTAGAATGTTCCAGTATTTATTATCTTATGGAATTTGATTATGTATCTATGTCTTTTAAAAAATGTGATGGGGGAAGAAGTTAGATTTTCATAGAGAAATCTTATGGACATGGATGACGAAAGTGAAAGCTGAAGGAAAACTGTTATACTCTAAAGCAAATAGAGGGCCATGTGACTGTAAAGTCACATTCTGGAAGCCTCATTTTACATCATGGTTAAAATTGGTATGAGAAAGGAAAGAACTATTGTGTAGATTGACAGTATTTATTATTTGTTTCAGGCAATACTCTGTAAGCAGTTGAACTGGCTCTTGAAAAATGTTTCTGGGAAACCTTATTGTTAGCTCATCTCTTCTTTCCCAGTGGATAAGTTATGCCTCAGCCATTGGCTCGTGTGCTTTTTTGTTCATGTCAGATAAGGTAAATTGCTGGGAAAGTGGCGAACATTTTGAACTTGCTAAGAGGGCCTCCCTTTTGCTCTAATTAGAGAGGTGCAGACAAGAGAGGGATCTTCTTCAATGATTCAGCCGCCATAAATCTTCCCATTTTCAGGCCCTTCCTACTTCATGCCCACCTCCACACATGCAGGGACTCTCTACCACAGTGATTTTAAATTGGTATTCAGTGGCTACCACACTTTTCCTTGGGTGTAGGGATTGGGGTGTAAATGAGGGGTAGAGGGAGTGTGGACTCCAGGCAGTCTGATTCCAGAACACCAGAGTGTATATCAGGTTCAACCCTAGCTCTACCACTTATTAGTTATGCAGCCTTCAGCTAGTTACTTAGCTTCTCCATACGTAAATTGGAGAGAAAATAGTAGCACTTACATCATGGAGTTGTTGTGAAAATTAAATGAAATGATGGGAATAAAAGTATCTGACCCATAATAAATAGTCAGTAAATGCAAACTATTAGTATTAATCATCTGACCCTATCCTATCTCCACAGCTTCAACTCCTTTACATTTCCTCACGGTATACTTTGATTATATCAGATTAACCAGTTAGCATTTCCCAAATGTATTAGTCCATTCTCATGCTGCTAATAAACACATACCCAACACTGGGTAATTTATAAAGGAAAGAGGTTTAATGGACTCACAGTTCTGCAGGGCTGGGGAGGCCTCAGGAAACTTAAGGAATCATAGCAAAAGGGGAAGCAAACATGTCCTTCTTCACATGGCTGCAGCAAGAAGTGTAGAGCAAAGAGGGAAAATCCCCTTATAAAACCATCAGATCTTGTGAGAACTCACTCACTATCATAAGAACAGCAGCATGGGGGTAACCGCCCCTACTATTCAATTACCTCCCACTGGGTCTCTCAGATGACACATGGAGATTATGGGAACTACAATTCAAGATGAGATTTGGGTGGAGACACAGTCAGACCATATCACCAAACTACCTTTCTGCTGTGGCTCGTGCTGCACTTCTTGTAAGAAATACCACTCTTCTCTTTGGGCACAACCCCACTGTCTTTTTAAGTTCAGCTAAAATGTCCACTAGGTTCACTTATCAGAATGAACTTCACTCTCTTGACTTCTGTGTTAGGCACACGGCAAATATTCAGTCCCCAACTCCTCTTTTCTGACGTAGCCCGACTTTGAGGCCCAATATGCCAAGCCCCAGTAAGGGTCATGCTTGCTTTATAGCAATTATTAGGTTGGTGCAAAAGTAATGCAGTTTATGCCATTAAAAGTAATGGCAACAATCTGTTTTCTGTGTTCCCAAACCCCACTGTACCTGAGAGTGCTCATGTGACTCATTTCTGACCAATAGGATATAAGGGCAGGGCGCTGGGGCAATCTACCTGGAAACCTTTGCTTTCCTGTTAAAGAAACTGGCGTGGCTGCAGTGCTTCTCACACCTCCCTTTCCTCTTTCCTTCATTGGAGATGGTAACTCCATACAGCAGTGGCTGTCTGTGACAATGGGCTGTAAACACGAGGGAAAAGTCAAGACAATTGATGAGAGGTTGGCTCAAACATGACTGAGTTGTTAACCAAGACTTGAAGCCACTTACCCTCATATTTATAAATATGTGAGAAGATCAGGCTTTATTTTTAAAAACGGTTGAAAGTCAAATTTTCTATTATTTGCAGCTAAATGAATTTCTACTTAAAGAAAAGTAAAATTCCTTAAAAATCAACAGCTCAGATATTTTTCTGTTAATAAATATTGTATATACTCATAGAAAATTTGTGAAGTACAGAAGGGTCTTTGGTAGATTAATTTTCTAAATATTTTGGGTCTCTCCTTATAGGGGGAATATGATTCCTCCTCAAGAACATAGGATTTGGCAGTGTGGCTTGTTTTGATCAATGAAATGTGAGAGAAGGGACATGTGCCACTTTCAAGAAAAAGCCTTTATTTTATTAAACCTCTGTTACGAGACTGCAGTATCCCAAATCGAGGCGTATCCTTCAGGCATGAATAAGAGAGAAGAGAATGTAGACCTGTTATATCCAACCCCACAGTGGACATGAAGATGAGACAGAAATAAGATTTGGGATGATTTCTTTTTGAATCATAACTGAACCTAAGCTGACAGATTTAGAACAA